>NC_000006.12:49150909-49453939 GCF_000001405.40 Homo sapiens
CTTGTTGGTTGTCACCTCTCCCCCAAGGAGCTCAAATGGCTTAGACAGCAGCCACAACTGTGGTGCTGGTCGCCCCTCCCTTCTGGGAGCTCAGCAAACTTAAGCAGATTCTCTCTGAATGGCTGTTGAGAATCTGCACGGGTCCGTGGTTGGGACCCTAGGCCCTGATGGCGTGGGCTCACAAGTGGAATCTTCTGATCCATGGATTGCACAGTTCCAGGGAAACAGCACGTTTTCCCAGGTTGGGTAGCACACTCACTCACCGCCTCCTTTGGCTGGGGGGTGGGGACTCCCCTGCCCCATACGGCTCTCAGGTGGGCTGCGACACCACACTGCTCTTCTTTCCTCCCTGTGGGTCACACCAGCCACCTAGTCAGTCCTCATGACAGAACCTGGATACCTACGTTGCCGGTGCAAGATTCACACGCTGTTACGGTTCTTTTTGATGGGAGCCTCTGATGGCCCATTGTTTCTAGTCGGCCAAATTGGCCCCGCCTCTCAGCATGGACTTTTATGCATCTGGTTTCCTTTACTCAGCATGATATTCTTGAGATTCATTACATTGCAGCATATATCAGCAGTTTCTTTCCTTTTACTTCTGAGTAATATTCTATTATGTGTCCATATCACAGATTGTGTTTATTTATTCACCTAGTAATGGACATTTGGATTGTTTTTAGTTTTTTGCTATTAGGGATAATGTTGATATAAACTTTTATGAATAACTCCGTTTGTGAGCATATGTTCTCAATCTCATGTTTACATACCTAGAGATGGAATTTCTGGGTCACATTGTGGTTGTATGTTTAACTTTAAAATAAACTGTCAAACTGTTTTTTTAAGTGGTTATACAAAATCATTCTCTTTTGAAATATATTTTATGTCATCGTTTTGTTCCTTTTTTTCCCAACTGTTAATCGTTTAGCTCTATCAGATCCTCACTTATCAATGTCTTTTCTATTATCAAAGTTCTCCAACACCACTTCCACAGACTTCATCAGAGTCTGTATTTTTTGCAAGATGAAAAAATTTACCCTGAATTTAATTCGTTTCTTTGAAATTCCCAGATATTTAAAACACTTCAAATTAGGACTGACAATCAAGAATTTTGACCCAATAGATCTACTAATAAAGAGTTTGACTTTTGGTTTCGCCATTGACAACTCCCTAGTTCCTCCCATTTCCCTTTCGCTTTTGCTCCACATCTGAGTAAGTCAATAGTTACATCTATACCCTTCCTGTCTCGGTTTCATAGGAAAGTTCAAACCACTATGCAAACTCCATCCTGTATGTGGAAACCCTAACATGTATACCCCCTGTTAGCCACAGTAAAAACCAAAGCCAATATACCAACTCCTTCATTAACACCATTCTGAACCAGCTTATACCAGTTATCTCCATAGAAGTCACTTGTGTAATAAAATTTTTCTCAAATTTCCTTGGTATGTGGGGTCTCATTAGTCTCAACACTCAAACCACTGAGATAATCTACAATATAATGTTTTCACAGGAAGACCAAAAGCATCTAGGAGCTAGGGTTAAACTCAGGAGGAATGTTTCAATATAGAATAAAAGTATGTCCAACTCATGTCTTTGTGTTATGACAACATTTTTTTTGGCATTTGCATGACTTTAGTAATACCAAATAATTATTTGTATTTATTGTCTATTTCACAAGAAATTTTCTGGGTAAATAAGCCATAATGTGAATTCCCATGAATTGAAAGTGGAAGAAATACAAGAAGGTGCATGCTTGATAATAAATGGTAAGAAACTTGGAGAAAAAAGTAGCTAAACATATGAGAATATAAAGATAATTAAGATCAGAAGTCTTTTGAGCAAAGAAAAGTTACACAAGCCAGTGCAACTTAAAGTGTAGTTCATAAACCATTATCAACTGTGAGTTTGTTAGAAATGCAAATCCATAGTCTCCACCAGCTCCACTGAATCAGAATCTTGGGAATGAGGTCCAGTAACCTGTGATTTATCCAGCTCTCTTGATGATTCTGTTGCATGCAAAATATTAAGAACTGCCACAACAACATAAAAAGCAATTGATTGGCTGAGAGTTGCAAGCGATAAAGCCTTTGCACACAAGAGGTTTATGTCTCCATAGGCATTCTTTCAAAATACGATAGATCTCATAAAAGTTGTCAAAGAAAATAAACTATGTAAATAGGCATTAAGAAGAAAGACTGTCCTCAGTAAAAGAAATTTAATAATATATTAAGGATCAGAGAAAGTCAACAAGGGATATTTATGTACACACTTACTTCTGTAGTGGAAATTTCTAAAAAATTACTTGTACAAGTGAATAACAGTGATTATTAAAAGTCGGAAGGGAGGATAATAGACTAATGAGCATGAAAGTAGATTTTTTAAAATTAAGTATTTTAAATATTTTAAAACCAGTCTATGTATATATTGCTTTCTTACTTCAAATATTAAATCCTGAATTATACATTTTCTTTTCTATTTCCACAGCCATTATCTGGGTCCAAGCCAACATAACTCTTGCCTGATTCCTGCCATGGTATCCAAACTAGTTTTATCAATTCCACCTTCGCTCTTCTCCAATCCATTTTGCACACTGCAGTCAGTGAGAATTATATCATGCCAATTCCTCACTTATAACCCTTCCAAATTTTACCATTATATGGAACACAAAATCAAAACTTCTTACCATAAGTGAAAGTGTCCTAGATTACTCAGCCCCTGTCTACTTTTCTGATCTTACCTTATATATCTGTCTCTAATGCAGATATATCTCTTGTCTTTTCTTATTTTATGCCAACTACAGTGGCTGTCAGCCTACTTCTCCATCATGGTTCACTTGTTCCAGCTTCAGAACTTATATGCTTGCTATTCGCTCTGCCTACAGTGCTTTTCTCTCAGATTATACATGGTGGGCCCTGCTTATCATTCAAATCCCAGTTTCCATGGCATGTTTATAAAAAGAAATTTCCTGAACTCAATCCATAACACATCAGTCATTCCAAATTATATTATTATTTTATTTTCTTCAAATACTTATAGCAGAAGCTATTTCTGTTTTTTTTTTTTTTCACCTATTGTGTCTTATACCAATAGAATATAAAATCTAGGAGAGCCAGAACCATGAACTACTTCCTCAACATGTAAAATAGAATCTGGTACATGAAAGTTATTTGATAAATATTTCTTGAAATATATAAAGATTTATTTTGTCACTCTCTTTTTGTTATTCACATGTCCACATTCCCCAATAGATTAATAGTTCTTTGAAGATTGATGTCATGACATTTTTCTTCTGTGTATCCCAAACCTAAAAATAATCTAGCATAAAGTTCTCAATAAATTGATCATCATAGACAAATTTTTAGCATTACCCAATGAGTGCATTTACTTGTCAAAAAAATAATTTGAAAATTATATATCACTAGTCTTGGGACTTTAGAAAAGCTTATTTACTCGGCTGTAAAAGAGTCCTAATAAAACTACATTATTTCCCTTACAGAATATTTGTGATAATTAAATTAAATGCATTAACAGTTCAGTGAATAAATATCATTATCTATTTCCTCTTCTCTATTTGTCAGACCTAAAAATCATTATTTTATTACCTATTTCTTTGATCAAGGATAGCAAAATACAGCCTGCAATCCAAATCTCAAGTACCACCTGTTTTCATATAACCTGCCAGTTAACAAAGGGCTTCACATTTTTAAACAATTGAAAAAAATCAACATAAAAATAAGGATACATGAAAATTATGTGAAATTCAAAATTGTATTCATAAACAAAGTTTTATTAGCATACAACCACATTCATTTGTTTTGCATATATTGTTTACTTTATGACTGCTGTTGTGGTAAATTGGTAAACGTGAATACCTGCAACACAGACCATATGGTCTACAAAGCCTAAAATATTTACTACCTGGTCGTTTACAAAAAAAGTTTGCAGATCCCTGGGAGCACAAACATCATACATATCAGTCTGTCCTTTGCATTTTATGCTGATCTCCACAGCAATGGCTGCGGATTGATCTATATTGACTCTTATAATACACTGTTCTTTGTGAACATTACCCACATTGTGCTCTATTAAAAGGTTGTGTTTCATTTCATTTTTCTTAGACTATACACTTCACAAAAAGAGGAGGTGGGTGCTGAAAAACCTAGCACTTCTTCATTCAATCTTTCCACAAATATTAATTAATTAATTAGCAACAACAATGATCGTATGAACATGCATTTAAGATATGCAAATATGCAAAAAATAAGTAATCTTGTCTTTGCTATTTTACCTAAAGCTAACTTTAACAGCGTTTGTGTACATTCTTCCCAAGAAGAAAATATATCTTGCAATTTAAGTTAAACATTCTCCTTTAATTATCAGCATGGCTATTTCATTATAAAAAGGAATTTTTAGTTTCCTTACATCAATGTAACTATTGCACATAAAACAGAGTTAAGTGCTGAGAGCTTTCAACTTAATTTCTCCGTCATGAATTCCATTCATATAGATGGGGCATTTATTATCTCCCTGTATTGAGCCATTTATAATGACAAGACACTTGAATACAAGAACCAGGAATGGGCTAATTCATGGGTCATTGATTATTCTGAAAGATGCTCAGGGGCTGAAAGTTAAGTCTCAGCAATAGAAAAACAATCCAGTGAGGCCTGCAACCTGCTGTTCTTTTACTATTGTTATTACTCCTCATTCTTAGAAGTAGAAATATAATTATTTCAGTTGAAAACAGGATCGAAGCTTACTTAGCCTTTCTTTCTCTACCCAGAATGATAATTATTAGTGAGGGACCGTTCAGAAAATGCTAGGGTTCATTATTAAAGGAAGAGGTGAAGAAAATAAACAGATTAAATTATTTAATCAAGAGTCAAAAATTGAGATAAATTTACTAAAGAAAGTGCAGGTAGGCATGTTGAAGATTTCTTAAATTAAACCAAGATAATGTATAGTACTATTATTCAGATATTTATCTATGTCACCTCACAAACTATCTTGCACATGCCTATACTACATTAGGTCTTGGATTTGTCTTTGGAATTTCTAGGAAATACTTAGTGAAACTCTTAATTCTTCTGGATATGCTGGAGCCAATCTATTTGGTCCAGTCTGTGAATTGCTAGATATAGTGTAAGATTTTTTTTCTTATGTTTTGTTTAGCATGGATGAGCTTACATTCTTTCTTGCTCATCAAAAATACTAATATTCTCATCATTTATGAAAATTCTAAACTCAGATATATATACAAGGATAAATAAGATGTAAGGCCATCATGATTACTATTAGTTTAATAGAATTTTTAAAGTATTTCTGTTTTTTCCTAATGAGATGAAGATACTTGAGCCTCATGACCTACTTTTCTGAATAGGTAAGCTGAGCACTAATGCTATGACTTCAAACATGACACAACCCAAGTGACACCAAACTTTTATATTGTATTGTGCCAAAAGAGATGAATCCAGTAATGCAACAAATTTGAGTGACGGTCGTGCCTCAAGAGGTGGAAACTAGCATAAAAGAAACCTCATCTCTCAACCCAGAGGTTAGCCGTAGGCATGATTACAAGTTTGTGGGACATGAAGGATTCAGTTTATTAAAACCTCAGAAGGTATAGACATGCCTTATATCAGAGAGGCCAAATCATTTCCAAAAACAAACAGAGTGTGAACCAGAACTCACAGGGATTTGCTGCTTCAAATAAACTTCAGATCATAGAACTATGAAACTAAAGTGAAAAATGATTTATTGATCTGCTCAATATTATACATACATACGTCTAGTAATTACATGACTCTGGGCCTACTCTCTGATGTTAGGAGACCAAAGAATCAATCTCTCTTTTCAGACATTTATGAGTTTTTTGAAATATTTGAGACAAAGAGACTACACACTTAACCATGAGCTAAGGATTGGTAAGGCTGAAGGTCCAGGGAAACTTCAAAATCTCCTGTATTTTAATCTGTATTTTAAGTCTGTTGCCAAAAACCCATTTTTCTAGATACTCAGAATATGAATGCTAAAATTATAAAGACGCTTGGAGATATCAATATAGACACAAATGTGAAAAAATAGACCAAATTTAATATAAATACATAGTTTTTTTCTCCCTTAACTCACTGCGAAAAATTACGTAGTTCAGATAAAGGCATCTGCCTACAAATTTAGTTTTACAATGATAGGCATTAAATGAATCTACAGAAAAGGGAAAAGAGAAAATCTAAGTAATAGTTACTAGCCAAATAAATTGATAATACTGAAAGCAAATCCTTTGATAGTTATTTGAAAACTTTCTCTCTCTCTGTGTGTGTGCGAGTGTGTGTGTGTGTGTGTGTGTGTGTCTATGTCTGTGTGTCTTTCATTTTACTGCATAGGCAGTGATCTCATGATTCTTTATTGGAAAAGATATCTTGCATTTCAGAAGCCATGAGATCTCTGATTGCATTTAATCAATAGTCAGTGAGACATAATTGTTGAAAGTCCTATCATTTTGACAGAAGTCTCACAGAGGATTGGTTCATTTAACAATTCCACTTTAAAACATATGGAAAAAAATGTTTTCACTAAGTTCCTTTCCTGTATGTACAAAACTCTTGAACATTCCTAAGTCTACCTTTATATATTTAAGGACTGTACAACCCTGCCCATTTAAACAAATTTCTTTTGTTAAACAAATTATTTTAAACAAAGTCTCTCTAAGGAAAATCATGAAAACTAGAGGCTTTGGGGGCAGACTTACCAAGAATAAAGTTTAAAGAAAACTGGGAACTTATAAAAATGCACTAGAAATAGGAGCATTTATTTTCAAGTCTCTATCTTGTAGCAAGACTTAGAATGTTACAGATCATTTAGTAGAAGAAAAAACTGGGATACAGAAAAATTAGTGGATTATACAAAGTAACACGTGTAACAGTAAAACTTGAAATAAAACTCAGATTTTCTGACACCCAGATTCCTGATTTTCCCATGAAGCAATACTAAGTAATGTCTGATATTTTTGTAGTATCTTATAATTTATATAGGTAATTTAACATATTCATTTTTTAAAAATTTACATAAAAACTTCAGAAGATAGTCCAGATATATCAATAATAGAATTGAATTTTATGAGCAGGTTAAGTGGCAAATGACACATAAGAAGTGCACAAGCTAGAACAATTTCGTTCTATTTCACTTCAGCATTGTCAGTTCAGTGTTTGAAAATAAATACTGAACATGCACCTAGAAAGCACTTGTTGTATTGGAAATTAATCTGCTTGTTCTAATATTATGCAAGAACCACTACTTTGAACGTATTGAAGCTGATTTCTCCCCAGCTTCCTTGAAACTGCTTTAGAGAACAAAAAGCCCCACAGAGTCAAAGGAAAGGAGCATTTGCCCATTTGATGAGAGCAGCAATTTCTGCCTGACTGAGTTTTGATTTGAAGTAAGATTGATGGAGTTTTTTTATCTCTTAATATTTTAGTTATGCTTGTTTCATTTGTTGTTGCTGCCCCTAAGAATGTTATTTGTTTTCCTAATATCATTTTGTAAGAAAAAAGCTACTATTGGATGTGAAGTCTGGTTCTGCCTCTTGCTAATTTTAAAATCTTGGAAAAGTTATTTACCCTTTTTAAGGTTCACTTGCCTCATTTACAAAACATGTGTGTGGCTGTCTCAAAGTTTTTTATTTATTGGGAGGCCGAGGCGGGCGGATCACAAGGTCAGGAGATCGAGATCACCCTGGCTAACACGGTGAAACCCCGTCTCTACCAAAAATACAAAAAATTTGTCGGGCGTGGTGGCGGTCGCCTGTAGTCCCAGCTACTTGGGAGACTGAGGCAGGAGAATGCCGTGAACACGGGAGGCGGAGCTGGCAGTGAGCCAAGATCGCACCACTGCACTCCAGCCTGGGAGACAGAGCAAGACTCTGTCTCAGAAAAAAAAAAAAAAAAAAAAAAAAAAAAAAAAAAAAAAGTTTTTAAATGTGAAGATATATGAAAAGCCCACACTGTAAATACCAGATGAGTAATCAAGATCCGAATGAGAATGAAAAGGAGAACACACAGTACTTGATACACAGATATTGGAACTGTGTAGGGTGTCTTTTCCTCCCTTCTATCCTTCCCTCCTTTCCTTTCTTGACATCCTAGATTTGCCTGCTTCAAAGTGACCTCCACCTAAAACTAGAATGCTCATTTCTTTCATTTAGATAAATAAATCAGGATCTAAATTGGAAGTCAGTGGATGTCATGCGTGTGGCCCAAAAACTATAGAAAAAATGCAAAAGCAAATATATCAGAAAGGAAACTTACGTCTTCCTTGGACAGCTCACAAAATGTTTTTGTCAAAGCACTCGTTTATAAATGACTATAATTTCTCAAAAATTAACAGGATTGTTATTGTCCATTAACTTTCGGCCAATGGTTTTTAAATGTCCTTGCATTAAATAAAGTGAATTTAAATAGCAGTTGAATTGCTAAAGAAATCTGTTAACTGGGGATTTTAAAAGTTAATTATAGCCTGTGGAGTATTTTAAAAACTCATTTGTTCTCCTCAATTGGAGTAACGAGATTTTTGTCTGCTCCATAATATAAATATCCCAGAAATATGTTTTCAAATGCTTAGGACAAAAAAAGTACAATATATTACACATTATTATATAGGCCCCCATATTATTGATGAAGCAATATAAAAGAAAATGAGCAAGTATGGTAGGTGGACTTCTAAGATGCCTCCTAATAACCCTAGCCTCTCACTAGTTATCTTTTTCTATTAAATATTGACTGTTTCTTTCACAATGTTTGCATAATAATAAATTTAGAATGCATTTTAAAAGCATTTTTATGTAGCACTGTAAGTAAAGCTTATTTTAAACTTTTATTTGGGGAAACAATGTGCTGTATTTGAATATGAAAAATAAAGAACCATTATTTTTTGTGTGTATATTTATCATATATTATAAATAAAGACATATGGATATGTTTGTGGTAATAAGATAAATGGATAATTCAAAATGAGAAAGTTAAAGGACAAACCTCTTTTATAATGTTAATATATATATCAGACTGAATTAAGAAGAAAAATAGGAATGTATTTCAAATGAAAAGAAAATAAAGTAATTCAGTCAGAGGTTCCTAATTCTAGTTTGCTAAATTCCATTATGTTTTCTCTTAAGGGCTATTTTAATTTTCCTGAAATTCCTCCATATCAAATGAATTAAAATTCATTTTAAATTAGAATGTGTTCAAAAACCATGGAAATTTTTAATGGAACTAAGGCCAGGATCACAAAATCAAAATGTCAGAAATAGGAATTCCTTCTGTAAATGAATGTGCAGAATGAATGTCCTGTGATAGCAAGCCTACCTACACTCTCCTCATGCACATGTTATTTTTTTTAAGTATTCAGAATTCCAATTATGAAGAGCTCCTTTTGTATATTGTTCCTGGGCTGTAAGTAGTGAGTGAGTTGTCTAGCGATTAGATGTTTTTTTCAATCACATTCTCAATAGAGTTTGCAGTAGATGTATTCATTCATTTTCACACTGCTGATAAAGATATATCCAAGACTGGGCAATTTACAAAAGAAAGAGGTTTAATAAGGTCCAGGCTGAGGTGGTATCAGATGAAGATGAGGAACTTGTTGGAAACTGGAGCAAAGATGACTCTTGTCACAGTCTCTTACAGTTCCATATGGCTGGGGAGGTTTCAAATCATGGTGGAAGCCAAGGAGGAGCAAGTCATACCTTCTTACATGGATGGCTGCAGGCAAAGGGAGAGAGCTTGTCCAAGGAAACTCCCGTTTTTAAAACCATCAGATCTCATGAAACTTATTCACTATGATGAGAACACCACAGCAAAGACTCACCCCCACGATTTAATTACCTCCCACTGGGTTCCTCCTAAACAAATAGGAATTCAAAATGAGATTTCAGTGAAATAATAGCCAAGCCATATTATTCTGTCCCTGGTCCCTCCAAAATCTCATGTTCTCACATTTCAAAACCAATCATACCTTCCCAACAGTCTCCCAAAATTTTAACTCATTTCAGCATTAACTCAAAAATCCTACAGTCTAAAGTCTCATCTGAGACACAGCAAGTTGCTTCTGCCTATGAGCCTGTAAAATCAAACCCAAGTTAGTTACTTCCTAGATACGTGGGCTTTTAGGCATTGGGTAAATAGAGCTGTTCCAAATGGGAGAAATAGACCAAAACTAAGGGACTACCGGCCCCATGCAAGTCCAAAATCCAGCTGGGCAGTCAAATCTTAAAGCCCCAAAGTGATCTCCTTTGACTCCATGTCTCACATCCAGTTCATGCTGATATAAGCGGTGGGTTCCCATGGTCTTGGGCAGCTCTGCCCTTTTGATTTTGCAGGGTACAGCCTCCTCTTTGCTGCCTTCACAGGCTGGCATTGAGTGTCTGTGGTTTTTCCAGGTGCACTGTGAAAGCTGTAGGTGGATCTAACATTCTGGAGTCTGAAGGATGGTGGCCCTTTTCTCACAGCTCCACTAGGCAGTGCCCCAGTAGAGAATCTCTGTGGGGGCTCCCATCTGACATTTCCCTTCTGCACTGCCCCAGCACAGGTTCTCCATGAGAGCCCTGCCCCTCCAGCAAACTTCTGCCTGGACATCCAGGTATTTCCACACATCCTCAGAAATCTAGGTGGAGGTTCCCAAAACTCAAATCTTGACTTCTGTGCACCCATAAGCTCAACACCACATGGAAGCTGCCAAAGCTTGGGGCTTGCACCTCCTAAAGCCACAAACTGAGCTGTGCCTCGGCCATTTTAGGAATGACTAGAGCAGCTGGGATGCAGGGCACCAAGTCCCTAGACTGCACACAGCATGGGGACCTTGGGCCCAGCCCATGAAACCACATTTTCCTTCAGGACCTCTGGGCCTGTGATGGGAGGGGCTGCTGTGAAGACCTCTGAGATGCCATGGAGACATTTTGCCCATTGTCTTGGAGATAAATATTCAGCTCCTCGTTATTTATGCAAATTTCTGCAGCCAGCTTGAATTTCTCCACAGAAAATGGTGTTTCCTTTTCTATCTCATTGTCAGGCTACAAATTTTTCTAATTTTTATTCTCTGCTTCTCTTATAAAACTGAATGCCTTTAACAGCACCCAAGTCACCTCTTGGATGCTTTGCTGCTTAGAAACGTCATCTGTCAGATACCCTAAATTATCTCTCTCAAGTACAAAGTTTCACAGATCTCTAGGGCAAGGGCAAAATGCCACCAGTCTCTTTGCTAAAACATAACAAGAGTCACCTTTGCTCCAGTTTCCAACAAGTTCCTCATTTCTATCTGAGACCACCTCAGCCTAGACCTTATTGTTCCTATTACTATCAGCATTTTTGTCAAAACCATTCAACAAGTCTCTAGGAAGTTCCAAACTTTCTCACATTTTCCTGTCTTCTTCTGAGCCCTCCAAACTCTTTCAATCTCTGCCTGCTACACATTCCAAAGTCACTTCCACATTTTCGGGTATCTTTTCAGCAATGCCCCACTCTACTGGTATCAATTTACTGTATTAGCTTGTTTTCACACTACTGATAAAGACATACCCAAGACTGGGAAATTTACAAAAGAAAGAGGTTTAATGAACTTACAGTTCCACATGGCTGGAGAGGCCTCACAATCATGGCAGAAAGCAAGAAGGAGCAAGTCACGTCTTACATGGATGGCAGCAGGCAAATAGAGAGAGCATGTGCAAGGAAACTCTTGTTTTTAAAACCATCAGATCTCATGAGACTTATTACTATCATGAGAGCAACACAAGAAAGACCTGCACCCATGATTCAGTTACTTTGCACTGAGTTCCTCCCACAACACATGAGATTTCAAGATGAGATTTTGCTAGGGACACAGCCAAACCATATCAATAGGGTTGTCATCTAATAGAGATGTTATTTCAAAATTGTTGAGTAACAGGGGAGGAAGGATCTGACCCAGAAAAGCATGAGATGTAATCAATCTTGTCCATTGGTGACTTTATGATATGCACTTCAGATAAAAGCCATTTTAGACTGAACCCATTTCAGACTGATCTACAGACACTTCATCCATTCTCAGCAATGCAAGTAGATAAATTAAGCTTGAGTCCATGAAAGAAAAAAATGCTTTATTAATCAAATGTATTTAAGGCTGTTTTATTTTATTATCTTCCATTTTAAAAGATATTAAAGGTTGCAATCTTGAAGGCTTTTACTGGGCATGGTAGCTCATGCCTATAATCCCAGCACTTTGGAAGGCCAAGGTGGGAGGATCACTTGAGGTCAGGAGTTTGAGACCAGCCTGGCCAAAATGGTGAAACCCTGTCTCTAACAAAAATACAAAAATTAGCCAGGTCTGGTGGCAGGTGCCTGTAATCCCAGCTAGTCAGGAGGCTGAGGCATGAGAATCACTTGAACCCTGGAGGCAGAGACTGCAGTGAGCCGAGATTGTGCCACTCCACTCCAGCCTGGTTGATAAAGCAAGACTCAGTCTCAATAATAATAATAATAATAATTAATAATAATAACTCCAGATGGATCAAGGACTTCAATATAAGATCTGAAACTATAAAAATTCTAGACGATAAGATCGGAAAAACCCTTCTAGACATTGGCTTAGGCAAAGACTTCATGATCAAGAATCCAAAAGCAAGTACAACAAAAACAAAGATAAATAGATGGAACTTGATTAAACTGAAAAGCTTCCACACAGCAAAAGAACTAATCAGCAGAGTTAACAGACTACCTACAGAGTAGAGAAAATCTTCACAATCTGTACATCTGACAAAGGACTAATACCTATAATCTACAAGGAACTCAAACAAATCAGCAAGGAAAAAGCAAACAATCCCATCAAAAAGTGGGCTAAGGACATAAATAGATAATTCTCAAAAGAAGATATATAAATGGCCAACAAGCATATGGAAAAATGCTCACCATAACTAATGATCAGGGAAATGCAAATCAAAACCACAATGTTATACCAACTCACTCCTGCAAGAATGGCCAAAATTAAAAAAAATAAAAAAATAATAGATGCTGATGTGGATGTGGTAAAAAAGGGAACACTTTTACACTGTTGGTGGGAATGTAAACTAGTAAAACCACTATGGAAAACAGTGTGGAGATTACTTAAAGAACTAAAAGTAGATCCATCATTTGATCCAGCAATCCCACTTCTAGGTATCTACCCAGATGAAAAAAAGTCATTATGCAAAAAAGGTACTTGCACATGCATGTTTACAGCAGCACAATTTGCAATTGCAAAAATATGGAATCAGCTCAAATACCCATCAATCAATTAGTGGATAAGGAAAATTTTATATATATATATATATATTTATGAATAATACTCAGCCATAAAAAGGAACAAAATAATGGAATTTACAGCAACCTGGATGGAGTTAAAATTATTATTCTAAGTAAAGTAACGCGGGGTGGAAAACCAAACATCATATATTCTCACTCATAGGAGCTAAGTTATGAGGATACAAAGGCATAAGGATGATACAATGGACTTTGGGGACTCAGGGGAAAGGGTGGGAGGGGGATGAGAGATAAAAGACAGCGCATTGGGTACCGTGTACATTGCTTGAGTGATGGGTGCACCAAAATCTCAGAAATCATCACTAAAGAAGTTATTCATGTAACCAAACATCACTTGTTCCCTGGAAACCTATTGAAATAAAAAATAAATTTAAAAATATTTACTAAGTCAGTTCTGTGGCAAAACTCAAATTAAGGATATAGCCTTTTCATCTGTGAATTTGCATGGCTTATAACAACCGGTGAAAAAGAAAAATCAAGACAGAGAAGAAGGAAAGAAATCAATGAAATATGAGAAAAAAATATACAGGAATGAACTTGAGTATGCATAATTGTACATGGAAATATGTGGAAGGAGATAAAACCAAAATAAGTATTTGAGGGAATTTTATTGATAGAAAAAAAAATGCACAAACTTAAAGCAAAGCTTATAATTGTTAAAGCCTCAAAAAAGTCTTTGCACCACAAACATGTTCAAAATTCTCATGAACAGGATACAGGTAAAAGCTGTAGAGCCTACAAGAGGGGCCTGTTCCCCTTCTGATATTGGCATGATATCTTAGATATTGATCAAACTCTGATATTAGCATGAGGGGCAGCCAGACTATTTTTTAAAAATAATTTCTATAGTGCAATATCACAAAGAAATACCTGCAGGTGTGGGGAAGAGAGCCGCACATTTGTCAGGTAACTTTGGGCCTCAATCCAGTTGCACTTAACTACATGGGACTTTGGAGGATAATTCATAGAAAGAAAATGAGGTTGTTTTAGTCTAGGGAGAATACTAAAATGGTAGGTTGGGGCAGAGTCTGGACAGTTGATGACAAAATAATTTTCATTCTCTCCTGGACCACAGCTCTAGGCCACATTTCCCCTTCTGCCTTACAGCGAAATGAATTCTGTTCACTGGGATGTGGACTGAAGTAATGTATACCATTTCTACATCTGCCTATAATGTCCCTGCATGTTCTTCCATGCTTTTCCCCAATCTCCTGCTGGATGTTAATGACCAGAGTGACCTTAAAGCTAAGTGTTAAAGATACCAGAGATTCCATCAGTTTGTGTCCTTAAATGATTGTGTGGAATACAGCATCCCCACACCCACCCCAATCACCAGTTGCACTTCATATTAATGGAAAAATTTTATTGTAACACTTCTGAGATTTAGGTTTGTTTTTTTGTTTGTCTGTTTTGTTTTGATTTTTTTTTTTTTTTTGCCTAGTGTCAGCTATCTTCACTAGAATTATCAGAATTAATTTTTTAAAGTCATTTGCAGATATATATGTCTGAAATGTTTTACCTCTATGACTATTACTTTTTCAGTGTGTGTATGTATACACATTGAAACATATATTTCAGTGTGTATATTTCAGATACATTTGCATATATCATATATTTTGATTAGCTATGGTTCTAAATTTTGAAATAATTGAATTAGTCAATCTTTTCCTTAATAGCTAATTTTCTTTTGTCCTAACTAAGAAATATTTTCTTAACCTAGGGTCATGACAATATTCTCTGGTATTGTTTTCTGAAAGATTTTCATATGCTCTCTCCTAGTCTATTTGGAATTTATTTTTGTGTGTGGTATAAGTAATAAAAAATACATGTATTCCATATGTATAAAGAATTTAACCTGTGCTATTTATTTTAAAGGTAATCCTTTTCTTATACTGATCTGTAGTATATCAATTATCTATCCATGTTTGACTTTTCTGGATTTTCCATTCTCTTATGTTTAACTTTTTTATCTGTTTCAAAGCCAATACTACACTGTTTTATATAACATCCTTACTATAGCCTTAATATGTGGTATAATATGTCCTCCATCCCTTCTTTACCATTATCACACTTCTTGAAATATAGCAATTCTATACACACTTTATTATTTATTTTATTTTTTAATTGATGTATTATAATTATACATATTTATGGGTACAATTTGATGTTTTCATACAAATATATGTTTTATAATGATCAAATCAAGGTATTTAGTGTATTTATTACCTAGTGCATTTATCTTTTTTTTGTGGTGGAAATATTCAAAAGTCCTTCTTCTAGCTATTTTACTGTTAACAATTGTCACAATATGTTTTATAATGATCAAATCAAGGTATTTAGTGTATTTATTACCTCGTGCATTTATCTTTTTTTGTGGTGGAAGTATTCAAAAGTCCTTCTTCTAGCTATTTTACTGTTAACAATTGTCACACTACTGTGCAATAGAACACCAGAACTTATTCCTCCTATCTAATTGTAACTATGTACCTGTTGACCAAATTTTCCTCATCTTCCTTTTACTTTTCTGCTCCCCAGTCTCTGGTAATCATTGTTATACTCTGCTTCTATAATATCAACTATGTTTTTTAAGAGTTAGATTATATTTGTATTTCTGATTCAGGCTTATTTCACTTAATATCTCCCGGTTCACCCATGTTGTTGCAAATCAATAAATTTCATTCTTTTTTATGGCTGAATAGAATTCATTTGCGTATACACATAACACTTCCTTTGTCCATTCATCGGCTTGTGGATGCTTAGGTTGACTTCCTATCTAGCCTATTGTAAATAGTGCTGCAATAAACATGGGAGTGTAGATATCTCTGCAACCTATTGATTTTATTTCCTTTGGATATATACTTAGTACTGGGATTGGTGGATAATATACTACTTCCATTTTTAAATTTTATTCTTCTATTTTTATTTTTTGTAATGGTTGTACTAATTTATGATCCTACCAATGGTGTGTAAATCTTCCCTTTCTCCACATCCTTGCCCACATTTGTTTTCTTTTGCCTTTTTGGTAGCAGCCATTTTAACTGGAATGAAGTAGTATCTCTCATTGTGGTTTTGATTTGCACTTCCCTGTTGGTTAGCGGTGGTGGGCATTGTTTTACTGTACCTGTTGGCCATTTGAATGTCTTCTTTTGCTACATGTTTATTAAGGACATTTGCTCATTTGCAAATTGGGTTATTTGGTTTTTTGTTTTTGTTTTTGCTGTTAAGTCTTCTGTATATTCTAAATAGTCACTCTTTGTCAGATGTATAGTTTGCAAATATTTTCTCCTATTCATTTTCTCCTCTTCCTTCTGCTGTTTCCTTTGCTGTGCAAAAGCTTTGTAGCTTGATGTAATCTCATTTTTCTACTTTTGCTTGTGTTGCTTCTGATTTTGAGGTCTTATTTTAAAAGTCTTTGCCCACTTCATGCTCCGAAGCATTTCTCTTGTTTCCTTTAGTAGTTTCATTATTTCAGGATTTACATTTAAATTTTTATCAATTTTTAGCTGATTTTCTTAATATGGCAGGAGGTAAGGGCCTAGTCTCATTCTTCTCCATGTGGATATCCAACATTCCCAGAACAATTTGTACATTAAATTGTCTTTTCCCTCATGTATGTTCTTGTCCTCTTTGTTAAAAATCAGTTGGCTGTAGGTGGATAAATTTATTTCTTTAGAGTTTTCCACATAGATTATGTCATCTGCAAATAGAGACAATATGATGTCCTTCTTTCTAATTTGGATGCCCTTTATTTCTTTCTCTTGCCTGATTTCTGTGACTAGGACTTCTATTATTATGTTCAATAAAGCTGGTGACAGCAGGCATCCTTGTCTTGTTTCAGTTCTTAGAGAAAATGCTTTCAGCTTTTCTTCATTCTCTATGCTATTAGCTGTGAGTTTGTCATGTATGGACTTTATTGTGTTGAAGTACGTTATTTTTAAACCTATTTTTTGTAGCGTTTTTGTGAGTTTTTATTATGAAAAAACGTTAAATCATCATTTTTTTGGCATCTGTTTAAACAATCATATGTTTTCTGTCTTTCTTTTTGTTAGGATGGTGTATCAAATTTGTTGATTTGTGTATATTGAACTATCCTTACATTCCTGGGATGAATCCCACCTGATTATATTAAATCATCTTTTTAATGCGTTGTTGAATTTGGTTTGCTAGTGTCTTGATGAGAATCTTAGAATCTATATTCATCAGAAATATTGGCTTGTAGTTTCCTTTGTTGTTGTTATGTTCTTGTCTGGTTTTGGAATCATGGTTTTGCTAGCCTTGAAAAATAAGTTTGGATATATTCTCTTCTCTTTAATTTTCTTCAATAGTTTGAAGAGAATTAGTATTATTTCTTCTTTAAACTTTTGGTAGAGTTCAGCAGTGAAGCCATCAGGTCCAGGGCTTTTCTTTTATGGATCACTTTTTATTACTGATTTTATTTCCTCAGTCATTATTGGTTTGTTCAGATTTTCTCTTTCTTCATAATTTAATTTTGATAGGTTATATGTGTTCAGGGAATTTATAAACTTCTAATGTTTTTAATTTTTTGGCATATAGTTGTTCATAGTAGTTTCTTATGATCATTTTTATTTTTATTTCTGTGGTATCAGTTGTTATGTCTCCTTTTGTAATCTCCTATTTTATTTATTTTGATCTTTTTTTATTCTTAGTTTCACTAGTTTTGTTGATTTCATTTATCATTTCAAAAAACTAACTCTCCATTCTGTTGTTGTTTTGAATTTTTTTATTTCTTTCTTCTACCATTTTGGGGTTTGGTTTGTTCTTGTTCTTCTGTTTTCTTGAGGTGCATAATCAGGTTGTTTATTAGAACCTTTCTTCTGTTTGATGTGGGAGTTTAGTGCTATGAACTTTTCTCTTAGAATTGCTTTTGCTGTGCCTTATAGGTTTTGGTGTATTCATTCTCATTTGTGTCAATTTATTTTCCTTTTAACTTCTTCATTGATCCATTGGTTTTTTAGTGGAATATTGTTTAATTTCCTTGTATCGGTAAGATTTCCAAAGTATTTATTGTTGTGATTTATAGTTTAAACTTCTTAAATTTGTTAATACTTGTTTTGTGGCCTAATATGTTATTTTTCCCGGGAAATATTCCATATGCAGTTGAGAAAAATGTTTATTTTGTAGCTGATGGATGAAATGGTCTGTAAATGTTTACAGATCTATTTGGTCTACAGTGCAGTTTAATTCCAATGTATCTTTGTTGATTTTCTATCTAGATGTTCTGTCCTTTGTTGAAAAGTGGGATGCTGAAATCCCCTATTATTATATTATAGTCTACCCCTTCCCTCCTTTTAGATATATTAATAGTTGCTTTACGTATGTGTGTGTTCTGAAATTGGGTACATAGATATTTACAATTGTTATGTCCTCTTTAAAGTGATTATTTCATTAATACATAATGGCCTTCTTTTCCGTTCATAGTTTTTTACTTGGTCTATTTAATCTCATATAAAAATGACCACTCCAGCTCACTTTTGGTTTCCATTTGCATGAAATATCTTTTTCTATCCCTTCACTTGCAGTCTATGCCCACCTTTAAGGGTGAAGTGAATCTCTCATAGACAGCAAATAGGCTTTTTATAATCCATTAAGCCACTCTCTATCTTTTGATTGAAGAGCTTAATCCATTTATATTTAAGGTTATTATTGACCATAAGGATTTACTACTGTCATTCCATAAAAATATCATTTTACTTTGATAAAATGATTTTTTATCTCATGAGCTTGTCTGACCAAAGTTGTTATGTTAAAATATGAGAATAAGAGAGGAGATGTCAGCATAGATACCAGATCTATTGCTGGTAATTCATATGGTGTCAATAATTTTGATTCTTTTTAAAATTCTATTTCCCTTTCTTTCTCTTTCTTTCTTTCTTTCTTTCCTCTTTCTTTCTTTTCTTTTTTCTTTTTGATACAGGGTTTTGCTCTGTCACCCAGGCATGATCACATGTACAGCGGCATATTCACAGCTCACTGCAGCCTTGAACTCCTCAAGTGATCATCCCACCTCAGCTTCCCAATTAGCTAGGACTAACCACAAACACATCTAGCTAATTCTTTATTTTTTGTAGGACAGGGTCTCACTGTGTTGCCAGACTGGTCTTGAACTTCTGGGCTCAAGCAGTTTTCTTACTTCAGACTCCCAAAATGCTGGGATTACAGGCATGAGCCACAGCATCAACCTTATATTTCTTTTTTTTTTCTTTTAAGACTTTTGAAAATCTTACAACACTGATAAAATTGCCTCATCCTTTCACAAGCTGTTCTTTATTTATGGAATGTTTATTAGTGTTTTATAAAATATTAAACACATGCTCTATTGAAGCCTGTTTGTAATGAGATTAAAGCAATTAAGTAATTAGAAAAGCATGTTTGAACATGCTGAATAAACTTTGCTGAAATAAATAATTTATTTATTTTTATTGAATATATTATATATATGAATATATTATATATGAATATATTAATTTTTGTCAACCTCACTGTTTTTATGTATTTGACAACATAAATTTATCTGAATGTTAATATACAGGGTAAAGTGGTTCACCATCCTCAGGTGCTCATGTATTTATCTCATTTCAAGTGCTCTTTTTTTTTTTTTTTTTTTTTTTGCTACTGAGTAAGTGATATACAAACAGAAATAAGCTCTTGGTACAAACACTCGGTCTTAGTACTTCAAGTCCTTTCTTCCAGTTTATTACTGCCAAAGCAATAATAAATCTATGATTCTGGTTGTTAGGTAGAAATAAAGGCACTCGGCTTTTCACCATTTCCCTGTGGTGAAGGAAAGAGGGGATGGAGAGGAGGTGGAGAAGTATCATCAAATTGAAGACAGTAATATTGTTTATGGGAAGAAGTATAGCACAACTCTACAACTCTATAAAGTACAGAAGCTTTTTATTATTCTCTTTGCCCTTTCTCATTTCCTGAAATAACCCTTCTGCCCACATCAAAGTCCACCTAATCCTAGAAGCCACAGCCACAGTCTATTTATTTATCTCTCTCTCTTTTTTTCTTTTTTTTTTTTTTAATTGACGGAGTCTCGTCTCTGTCATCCAGGCTGGAGTGCAGTGGCTCGATCTTGGCTCACTGCAACCTCCACCACCTGGGTTCAAGCAATTCTCATGTCTCAGCCTCCCGAATAGCTGAGATTAAAGCCATGCGCCACCATGCTTAGCTAATTTTTGTATTTTTAGTAGTGACAGGGTTTCACCGTGTTGGCCAGGCTGGTCTCGAACTCCTGACCTCAGGTGATACACCTGCCTCTGCCTCCCAAAGTGCTGGGATTACAGGCGTGAGCCATCGCACCTGGCCTATTTCTTTAACATTCTCACCAGAACACATTAAGTATTTGATACATTAGGAAACCAATAACTCATTTTTTTTGTTTATTTGTTTGTTTGTTTTGAGACGGAGTCTCGCTCTGTCGCCCAGGCTGGAGTGCAGTTGGCGCAGTCTTGGCTCACTGCAAGTCCGCCTCCTGAGTTCATGCCATTCTCCTGCCTCAGCCTCCCTAGCACTACACCCGGCTAATTTTTTTCGTATTTTTAGTAGAGACGGGGTTTCACCGTGTTATCCAGGATGGTCTGGATCTCCTAACCTCGTGATCTGCCCATCTTGGCCTCCCAAAGTGCTGGGATTACAGGCGTGAGCCACCATGCCTGGCCAACTCATGTTTAAAGGATAAAGTTTTTGTTTTCTGGAATGGTTGAAAGCCATGATAAAAAGGGATATACTGTCGTAAAGAAATGTGAGGTAAGAGCATTTTTAAGTAAAATCTTCCAAAATATTGCTTCCTTGGCATTTCTACGAATAGAAAGATGAATATGTTTCTATTTAAAATGATCTATATAAAGTAAAAAATAAGGTCATTTTCACATATCACTGGAATTCTCTATAAATCTTAATGAAGAAATATCTGAGTTGATTGAGTTCTGGGGAATGGTTATGAAACTTTGAAGGTAAATACAAAACATGATTTCTTCAGCTCTAGCAGCTGTTCTGTCTGATGCCCATTACAATCCACAGCCCTCAAGACCAGTCACATAGTGAGTCCTGGACCAAGCCTGACAAAGGCAGGATCCATCAACGTTACAGCCCTAACTTCTCATCAGGCTGCATATTAATGTATTCATTCAGATTTGGTGCATGCTGACTGATATTTATTCTCTTGGGCTTTGTTTATTTGCCTTATAAAGGGAAAATTACTTAGAAAATACTAATAATTCCTGAAAAAAAAAAACTGGAACTGTATTATGATCAAAATAGTCTGCCCTGGTCACACCCCATCCCAAATATTCTGTTAAGGGTATTATGTATTGAAGGATATTCTAAAACCAAGTTTTGTTCCTACTTAAAGTAGAAAGGTTTAGTAAGTCTAGAATATTATGCCTGCTTATCACTGTTTTTTGAAATTTCTTCATTTTACTAGAGGTTCAGATACAATTGTATTGTCTGTGAAGTCTTCCTATCAAATTGAACCTAGAGTAATGGCCTCCATTTCTCAACTGCTAAAGCACATTCTGTCTCAACCTTTAATTAGATATTTACTAAAGAGTTTTCATTAAATTTTTATACATGTATGTCATCTCAAAAGTGAGACAAAGTCAGTGCTAGTTTTTATTATTTCATTGTATGTGTCTTAAGACTTTCATGTAACAGGCATTTAATATAGATCTAATAAATGAGTAAACATTTTTCCATTATGCATTTAAATCCATGACATTTCATTCCCAGTTCTACTTACTAATCCTATAATTAAGAATGCATGTGGATATTATTTATGGGAAGTCTATTCAAATTTCTGAATTTAACTCATTTTGTAATTAATAACAAGATAGAAAAAGAAGATAAGACTGGTCATGGAGGTGAAAATAAAGTCATTTTGAAAGTGTCAACAACATAGTTCATGGTGGCAAATTTTAAAAAGGCCACGAGCCCAGGATTAAAATCTTCACAGCAAGAGACAATCACTTTTAAGTTTGTATACCCTATTTCTTGCTGGTTCCAGGCTTTTGGTTATTTCATTGATTTCAGCAGGAAGAGAAAGAAAGATAAAGTGTATTTATAATTTCACTGTGATTCTCAGAGAATCATTCTTTTCATGGCTACATTTTACCATGAAAGACAGTGCTTCTCAAACTTTAAAGTATATAAAAATTCCCTGAAAGATTGTTAAGATCAAATTCTAAGGTCTTACCCACAGAGATTCTGATGTGACCAGTTGTTGATGGGGCCTGGAAATCTGCATTTAACAAGAACCTGAGAACTAGTCCATTGGTTTTTGACCCTAAACTACTTCCCTAAATGATATGACTTCATATATAATTGAATTGGCTGTACCACTACTTGCATATGCCAGAAATTATATAGATACGGATACAAACATAGATATAAATATATGTAATGATAGATATAAATATCAAGTATTTTCTTTGGTTACCTGTAATTCTTGGTGTCACCCATGTGCTCTAACTTTAACAGATCAACAATACTGTTTTGTTCTGTTTGTTGACGTTTACTTGCCAGGTAGTTTCCTACCGAGAGTTAAAACTACATCATGGGTCTTGAAGAGGTTTGAGGAAAGTGAGACAGTTTATAAGAGCTATATAGAGTTGTAATTCTTTCTGAGGCTCAGATGGCTATCATGGTGTAAGTATGAAATAAAAAAAACAATGAATGTACAGCAAAAAATATGCTTTCTAGTTATTACAGTGTCAATTTGTTTTTTGTTTTTTTTTTTGAGACAGGGTCTCTCTGTGTCTCCAAGGCTGGAGTGCAGTGGCGTGATCATAACTAACTACAGTCTCAAACTCCTGGGCTCAAGGGGTCCTCCCGCCTCAGCCTCCTGAGCTAGGACCACAGGTATACACCACTATGCCCTACTATTATGGTGTCACTTTTATATAAGACATTGATTTTTTTTCCTTATGTAAAATAGATAATAACTACACTGCCTGGGTTGTTGAGACTAAAATGAAAAAGTGTATGTGAATAATCTTGTGAATGCAAAATATACTTTCATCTACAGCACTGTGCCTTCCAAAAAAAGATAGTTTGTGTCTTTGATTGACAATCGCAAATCTAAAGACTAAAACATGTTTGAAAATTAAACAAAGCATGAGGTCTGAAAATGTTCCAGTCTATATTATCTCATCAACTATTGAATATTTTGTATCCAGGAAGTTTCTTATTACATTTTTTTCATTTGAGTAGCTCTTATGTTAGAAAAAAAACTCTAAATTGTGTTCCTTTGGAGAATTTGAAATAATATACAGCTTATCTATGGTTATATTTTTCCATTCGGAAAAAAAAGACATAAACTTCATCAACCTGGAAGAAATATTCTCATGTGTTAAAATAGAGGCAAACACAGAATTCACAGGAATTATCTAAACCTAATTCTTTAATCCAAACCATCTCCCTTAGGGTGTTTGCTACAATTTGTGAGCAACTTTAAATAATTTTTTAAACTAAGTCACCAGACCATTCAGTGCATAGCTCAGAGCACAGAGGTGTGTGCCTGAGGTAAGTTTAGACACGTGTCATCCTTTTTGAATGTGGCATGCCTAATGTGACTGCTCCCTCAAGGTAAGGAGACTTCATATTTCAGTATAATTAAATATGAGAACTCATCTAAACATAAAATATAAGCCCTAAACAATGTGAACATTTATGGCCAAATATAATTATATTGCTTCTCAAAATAAATACTTTCACTCAGAACTTCTAGATTTCCTGTGGTGCTATAAGTGATAATCCTGGAAGTGTGATTATTTTTAAATAAAACTTGATTTTTATAACAATAAAGGAAATAAATTATGTACTCCAGCTTCTTCAAGGTTTATATTGAACTCTAATACCGCATAAAGCATGTTGTACCACTGATGTAAAATACAAAGCATAAACAAAGTAGACATTTATAGCCAAATATAATTCTATTGTCAAACAAAAATAGTTGCTTTTTATTCAGCACTTCTGGATTATTTTCCTAGCTCATGGCTTTATGATTATATTCAAAGTGTGCTCACTGTATTGAATTGAATTAATTATATCATCACTTCCTTATTCTGATAATATGCATGTCTGGAGACCATATTATCAGGCATTGATGAGAATTCAAGCTTTCAATCTATTCTCTCAGTCTGATTACTGAGATTACTGAGTGCTATCCCAGCTGTAGATGTATTAGAATAAAAAATATTAATTTTTTCAAAAAGTTAATGATCATGGAACATTCGGGGGTGCTAATGACACTGGAATATGCTGAGGCAAACATTTTAAGGTACATGTCTTAATGGTAAAACGCTTTATTAATTCTCGAAAAGTTAAAGCCTTGCCACGGTAAATGCCAGACCATTCTGTGACATCCATGAAGGAGCCTGTGAAATTCTCATTAGTTACAGTGGAGCATTTCTAAAAACACGATGAGTCTGAAAGTGACATGATAGGGAAACTGCTTACTACCTAGCCTCAACAAAGCAGCACCATTTAACATTTTGAAAGTTTCCTAGAGAAGTGGCTTTTAGAATGGAGAAACCACGAACAGCTTCAATTGTACCCCCTAAACTTTTACTATATGACCTGAGTTAAGGTCATTGAAGCACAGCATTCAAAAGCAAACAAGAAGAAGAGGAAGAGGAAGAGGAGGACGAGGAGGAGGAAGAGGAGGAGGAGGAGGAGAAAGGGGAGTAGGAGGAAGGGGAGGAGGAGGAGGACGAGGAGGAGGAGAAGAAAATAGCAAATATTTGGAATAAGAGCTGTTTTCAGGGTAAGGTTGTTTGTGACTTCAGCCACAAAAACAGAAGCTTTAACAAGATTTTACAAGACAGTAAGTTGATGTCAGGACACCATCTCTACCTACAGATGAGAAAAAAGAATCCAAAGATATTTACATTTTTATCCAAAAATCAAAATATGATTAGTGATTGATATCTCTTGAAGCTTTGTCTTGTCTTCTGTAAAGGTAACTAGAAACTGCCCAGGAATTCTCTAGTTTAATTTTGACATTCTGAATTGTTCAGATGAAAATTCTTTGAATTCTACTTATCATACAGCTTTTACACGATTTAGATTCACTAAACATGCTCTATTAGAAATATCAAGCCTGCGTTGTAGAGTCAGAAACTTCTAGATTCAAACCCCAAAGTCTCTGAAACAAAGCTTTAGTTTCCCCATATGTAAAATGAACTCAATAATCTCTATTTTCTGGCATAATTTTGAGGCCTAAGTGAGATAATATATGTGAAAACATCTCGATCTGTGCCTGGCTCATTGCAGATAATACACAAATGATATTTTCTCATTCTCTAGCTAATAGTAATTATATTATCAGATACAGATTTATGTCAACATATTCTATTACAATGTATAACACTACTGAAGAATATCAGAAAAACAAAAATGCCCAAAAGTATTTAGGAAACTGTGGAGAAACATTCAGTAAATAGGACTCAATGTAGTAAATATTTTTTTCTGAAACTGAAACATGAGTAGTGGGGAAACAGCTGATCTAGATAAGTTGTCTCCATTATGTAAAAATTCACACAGCATCTCTGACCCTCAGCTTCCCTCTCCATAAAACATTAATAATAATATTTACCAGTGAGGGCTATTATCCGTCCTAAAGAAGAAAGTCTTTATTGCTTGGAGAATGCTATATTAATCTGTCAATTTTACCCATAATTTAAAACAACGCTCAACAATTTGAATTTAGGTAAAGTGGAGTAAATTTCTACATTTTATGTAGACTCCGTAATTTTTTCTTACCTTCCCTTTTTTTTGTGGGTTTCTTAGAACTGTAAGAGTAAAACATTAATATATTTTAGATTATATTTTATTACATATTACTGTAGCACTTTGTGTTATATTTAAGTTTGCACACCTGTGTATCTCATTCACTCTATTTCACACTCTTAAGATATGTGGCCACAGCAATAACTTTCACCTTCACATGTTCCTGTACACTGTGACCTTGACATAGCCCTGTCAAGAGGTTTAACCCCATCCACTTAAATCTGGGAAGATTTGTAACTACTTTGAGCAATGTGGAAATGACTCCATGTGATTTCTGAGACTAGGTCATTAAAGAAAATATGGCCTCCTTTTTGTCAGTAAGAATATTGTTATTATTTTCATATTATAAAGCAAATTCCGGCTGGGCGCAGTGGCTTACTCATGAGAGCACTTTGGGAGACCGAGGTGGGCGGATCACGAGGTCAGGAGTTTGAGACCAGCCTGACCAACATGGTGAAACCCCATCTCTACTAAAAATACAAAAATTAGCTGGGAGTGGTGGCAGGTGCCTGTAATCCTGCTACTCAGGAGGCTGAGGCAGGAGAATCGTTTGAACACGGGAGGCGGAGGTAGCAGTGAGCTGAGATCACACTACTGCACTCCAGCCTGGGTGACACAGTGAGACTCTGAGTCAAAAAAAAAAAAAAAAAAAAAAGCAAATTCCAAAAACACCTTATTAATAAGAGGATAAATTAGATTAATTCTAAAAATCTTCCAAGCTTGTGCTTCTCTGTTACATGTCAACAAGGCTATGGTACTCACCAGTAATGACATTTAACACTGAGCTTTATTAGTTGCATTAAGATCAGATGAAGTAAAATAAAATTATCTGAATTATTTACTTAGTATAACAACAGGGAAAGGAAAACTAGGCCAATGCCTAAAGTCTATTTTTTACTCTATCAATTTAAATATTAATTCTAATATGCTTACGAATACATTCTGACTTCTTTGTAGGGTCAGAAAGCTAAAAACAAAAGGGAAATTTGTGGATTTCTCTCTCCTCTATATAGGTTAACAACTATTTCTTATGTTAAGCCCTGAGAAATTTGGAATTCACAAATATCTATGAGATAAAAACCAAATTTCCTACAATTCAGTTAAACTACTGTGATTCTCCTCTGTATTAGCCCGTTCTCACACTGCTATAGACAAATACCTGAGACTGGGTAATTTATATATATAAAAAAAGGTCTAATTGTCTCACTAATCCTGCAGGCTGTGTAGGAAGCATGGCTGGGAGGCCCCAGATGGTAGAAGGCAAAGGAGAATCAGACGCATCTTACATAACCATGACCGAAGCAGGAGGAAGAGAGGGTGAGGGGGGAGATGCCACACACTTTTAAACAACCAGATCTCACAATAAACCACTATCAGGAGGACAGCACTAAAGGGGAAATCCACTCTCATGATCCAATCTCTTCCCCCGAGTCCCCATCTCCATCACTGGAGATTATAATTTAACATGAGATTTGGGCCGGGACACAGACCCAAACCAAATTATTCTCCCAGTACTCTGATGAATGATACATAGTCCAGATCAACTTAGAATACTCACTTCTATCTATTGAGTCACAGTCCACAGTAAACTCTGTAAGACTCCCACAATTATTGATTTTGAGTGTTGGCTAGATTAAGAGATACTCATATATTTGGTAAAGCATTATTTATTCTCAATGCTTCAGTAAGCATTCAGCCCATCTTTCTTCTGCTGAAGGAGAAACCCAAGTGGTTTTGCTTTTGATTAGAATGACTGGGCTGCCCAAGATGTACCAGTGAAGCTGGTTCCAGAGGAACTCAGCATGTGAGTCAGTGGACTGAGTGGAGATGATCCACTCTCAATGTGGGTGGGCGCCATTCAATCAGCTGAGGCCAAAAGAAACAAAAAGACAGACAAAGGTGAATTCTTGGTACATCTTCTGGAGTAGGAATTCTCTTCTCCTGCCCTCAGACCTCCAGGTTCTCTAGCTTTTGAAATTTGGGAACTTTGGGAACTGAGCCATCAGTCTCCCAAATCTCACGTCTTCAGGCTCAAACTTTGAGTTTGCCAATGGCATCCTTGGTTCTGAGGCCTTTGGCCTCGGACTGAGCCATGCTGCCAGCTTCCCTGTTTCTCCAGCTTGCTAGCTCTCTCTCTCCATTCTTCTGTCATTTGAGGACAGTGTGCCTCTCCTCTGGAGAATGCAATCCTCACCAGACAAGTGAACCTACCAGTGCGTTGATCTTGGACTTCTCAGCCTCTAGAACTGTAAGAAAATAAATTTCTGTTCTTTATAAATTACTTAGTTTTGGGCATCCTGTTATAACAACACAAACAGACAAAGACAGCTCCTTAATTATAATAGGGTGTTTAAAGCCTAAACTGCTTAGGAACATAGTGATTTTTAAATTACATGCAAGAGAATAATTTTTATATATTATGTATTAAGTGAGAAACTAAATGAAAAATAATTGGATTTCTTTGTAAAAATAAATCGTGTTCATTTACCAAAATCATCTATCCTAAGAAATAAAATAAGATACATTTTATAGTAATAGAAAGTATGCTAACAACATCAACACCAACAACTATTAATACTTTTCTCAACATGTACCAAGAAATCTCCTAATCACATATTCATTTCCTACTCTCAACAGCTCTAGGGGATAAGTGCTGTTACTACCCATGTTCCATATATGAGGAAAACGAGACACAGAGAAATTAACTTGTACCATGTCACTCAGTTAGTAAATGGTATGGCATATTTGATTTCAAGTAGTTGGATTTGAGACATTACGTGCCACATGGCACTGCCTCTTAGAAAAAAAATGTAAACTAACAGATATAGATGCTTATTAGTTTAAAAAATCAGTTGCTAAGGAAAACTGTGCAGCATTTCTTATTTGGAATTGTTATTCCTTGAGATAATTAAACTCTAAAGCCCTAAGTTAACATTTATGTAATGAATTACCTTCCTCCCTATGCATTTAGAATGATACTAATTATGTATCATCTTTGGAATAAATTGAGAATATAGTCATCCAAATTACTTCCTGTGTTCTGTGACTCAGACAAATATTCCTCATTAAGAAAGTTAACAGGATCTTTTGAATCAACTTATAATTCCAATCCATCTTTTTGACTGACATGTGTCAGTAATCTTTTAGTTGCAAGTGACAAAAATCCAAAGGAAAATATGCAAAGCTGGTAATTATTTGGTTCAGATAGAAGGGATGAATATAGTAATTGATTACAGAATTAAATGTAGAAATACAATATCCAGAACTTTTGGGTCTGAAATGAGAAATGTAATTCAAAAGAAAATTAACTCTTTCCCACCATTTCTCATTCTCCCTTGCCTCTGATCCTTTATACGTTCTTGGTAATTTATTGTGTTGTTTTCACCATAACCTGAGATCAGGAAAAACATTTACACCTACTGTAGAGTATCATTGTGTTTACATTTTTGTAGACATTTTCAAAGGTCAAGTTTATTTTTACAATAAAACAATATATGTTTCCTTTTAAAAAAAATATGGACATCAAAAGCAGATGGAAGAAGTTGTTTAGGAACATTCTATTTGCTATGAATTCATAACCTCAATTAGGCCAGCACAGTTCCAAGTAATGATAATGCTTCCGTGTAACTTCAGTACTTTCTTGCCTGTAGGTTCCAAGAATAATACTATTTCCACTGATAAAAGTTTTTTTTTTTTACAAAATTTACTGTCTAAGTCTACATTTCTTGTAGACTTATAAAATATTCACTTTTATAAGTTTAATATGCTGAGGTTTATATCTGAGACTATGGAAAATAGTTGTTGACAACATTTTAGAAATTGAGAATTTGTTTATGCTAAATGATTACAAAGGGCTTAGTATGATTACTATCTGAAATGTGTAATTGAATAAGTTTAAGATTGATTAGAAAAAAAATTATGTTGTCAAACCATCTACTTGTGACTCTAGGGAAGCTATGAATAAACAGAATAACATATATGATACAAAAAATCACAATAAAACAGAGCAGATATAAAAGTAGACTGCTAGAATAGCATAGAGGCATTAGAGATGAGGGATAGATGTAATCCTGGACCTTGAAGGAAATTGTTTTATTCTATCCAGGTCCAAAATATAACTCTAATTGGCTTAGCATTAACTCTCTAAGTTTGTTCATTTCAATTCATATTAATAGTATTTAGAAGAAACGACTCAGCATATTAAATCTTTGTAAATTCAAAATAGTAAATAGAAGATACTTAATAGAAAGTAAATAATAGAAGGTACTTTTTTCTACTTAAAAGTAGAAAAAGTAGAGTTCTTGCACAATGCCTCTGGTATAACTAATATAAAAAAATACAAAATAAACTAATGACAAGGAAATTTTATTACAAATTCCTTATAAAGGTGGCAGTGTGGCACCATCTACCTAGAACAATGTAGTTTTTGGAGCACCTGAACCATTTTGTTTAGAAGGAAATTGCAAGCTTGTCACAATAAATTATCTGTTTATTACTAGAGTGGATTTTGAAAGATGGCTGTTCTAAATTGGCATTAACTATAATTGATAGGTATTCAGCTTAAAATACAAAGAAGTGAAGACAACCTACTTTGTCATGTACTTTCTTCCTTCAACTTGTTTCCAGTATACATTATATTTACAGTTCTCTAACTCATTACCACCCTCTATTTCAAACCTATGGCACTCCACACTAATCAATCATGGTACGCTCATTCCAGAGAGAGCCTTATAATTTTTTTTTCCAAAATTGTTAGTAAGAGCTCAGCAAAGTGTCTATGGAGGTACCAAAACAATCAAAAAAGACAATTAGACTAACAAAAGGGATAACACATAAATGACGCCTTCAAAAAACTTAATAACAAAGTATCCCCATGAAATCTAGAATAGGGAAAAGAAGAGCTAAACTGCCCTCACATTGACCCGTTTTGAGCAAGGCACATAGAAGTAAAACAATGGGACTTATGATGATTCTTACAGCTGGATACTCAAACATTTTTTCCAAGTTCTTATGCCCAAAATGAGAGGATCCCCCATAAACTGTTAAGGGCTTAAAAGAACTGTCTCAGAAAAAACAGATAAAATTATAAGTGGTCTCCACCAAGCAAAAATATCTGAGGTTATAGGGTGCCCTGGACATAACTAGTCTTTAAGGTATCCAGTAAAAACAAACAAACAAGCAGCATTACATTGATGAGAAACTTCTTGGAGTAAAACTCAAGTTATTCAGTCATTATAAGAATATAGTCACTATAGGGGTAAGTAAGGGAAACTTCTCAGATATAAGTGGACATATGTAAGAACCAAACAAAGCAGATTTCAGAAAATACAAGAAAGTCAGAAGTACCAAGAAACATGCTGGAAACATGTTTATATATTAAACAGAAGGTATCCCAGAGCTGCAAAACTAGGAAAACCATCCTAGTATATCCTCTACCTCTACATAGCCCTTACCTCCTAAGAGTATGAGAAAACCAATCTCATTTAAACAATAAGAGTAAAAATTCCACACAAATATATTGTACGAAAAAAAGATGATAGCAATTAACAAAATAATGTGCCCATAAAAGGATAAACACATGATTTTTAAAAAGATAGATATAAATCAGAGAAAAGCTGTTATTTAATATTATAAGTGTAATAGTCTTTTCTCATGCTGCTAAAAAAGAAATACCTGAGCTGGGGTAATTTGTAAAGGAAAGAGGTTTAATGAACTCACAGTTCCACATGGCTGCGGAGGCCTCTAAATCATGGCAGAAGTTGAAGGGGGAAGAAGACATGTCTTATATGGCAGCAGGAAAGAGAGAGCTTGTGCAGGGAAACTCTCATTTATAAAACCATCAGATCTTGGGAGCCTTGTTCAATACCACAAGAACAGTATGGAGGAAACCATCTCCATGATTCAATTATCTCCATCAGGCCCCGCCCATGACACATGGGGATTATTATAATTCAAGGTGAGATTTGGGTGTGGACACAGCCAAATCATATAAATAAGCTAAAGGATCAACAACAACAACAAAAATAGAAATAAGAGCAGAAATCTATAAGATGATGTCTAGACAACCAGGGGAAATGAAAATGAGACCATAGAGCTCAGTAAAAGAATTAGAAATACAATAAAAACCTTTCAGAGTGAACTAATTAAAACAGGAGGAATACAAAAGTAAGTAGATAAAACTACCCCCATAAAAATAAAAATAAAGTATTGAGGTAAGTAAAAAATTAAAAGTTAAACAGAAATGAAAAGAAACACAGAAACAATCCACAGAAAGTGATAGACAGTAAATAAGAAAATAGCCAATCAGAAGTCTGGGGCAGGAGGATCGCTTGAGCTCAGGAGTCTGAGGCTACAGTGATCTATGATTGTGCCACAGCACTCCAGCCTGAGTGACAGAGTGAGACCCTCTCTCAAAAAAAAAAAAAAAAAAAAAAGTCAACATCTGCATAATAAGAGTCCTTGAAGAAAACCAAAGCAATCAAATAAAAGCAATACTAAAATCTGTAATCCAAGAAAACTTCTCTGAAGTAAAAAATGGCTCATGATTACATAATGAATAGGCATGTGAGGTACCTTCCAAAGTTGATTCAGAATGGTCAACACAAAGATATATCATAGTAAAACAATTAGACATTAAAGTAAAAAAAAAAATCAAACAGAAAAAGAAGTCTTTGAGGAATTGAGGTAAAAAGACCAAGTCACTTATAAAAGAATATCAGATTGGTTTTAGACTTCTTAACTGCAACACCTTGGATCAGATAATAATGAAGTAATTTATTTAAGGTACTTAAAGAAAGAAAATAAGAGCCAAGAATGCCATATCCAAACAGATTCTCAATAATAAAGACCAAAGACAAACAGTTATGAATACATAAGAACTCAGATAATAGTTTTACCATGTTTTCACCTTGAGAAATATACCAAAGAAAAATCTTTGGGCCACTAAGGAATAAGAGACACTTGGCAAAAAGTTCAAGCAGTGAGCACTGATTATATTTAACTCTAGAAATAAGAATAAATAATGTACAAAAAGATGACAAAAGAGAATAAAATTGGTATATAATAATTATGGTAAAAATACAACCCTCAAATTGGAAATAAAATGGTAAAGCATAAGGCAAGTAGAAAAAGTATGCCACTTGTCTCCTTAGTATAAACTGAGATTAAAGGATATTCCTTTAAGATAGACACTCTGAAAAAGGGAGAAAAAATATTTTAACTTATTTCAGTATTGATGCTAGCTTGGAACCACTGCCTAATAAAAACTGAACCAAAGGCATTACATAAAGGTGTTGGTACACAAATAACCCCAAATTTTAATATAAATAAGTGGAATGCTGAAGGTAGGAGAAGAGAGAGTGAGAGCGAGCGAGCGAGAGAGAGAGAGAGATGACATAGTGAAAGTTTTTATGTAGGAAAAAAATCATAACTGAGATCAAACCTTTATCTTATCAATGAAAGTGAGTTGGCTTAATTCCCCTGTTATAGGGAAAGATTTGCAGAATACTAAGAAAAATATAACTCTATGCCATATACAGGGCTCACATAAAACAAAGTGAATTAGAAAATGGTTAAAAATAAAAAGATGGTTTAAAAATCAGGAAATACACTAAGAAAAAGCAGGAGACACAATCTTTGCTTCCCTCCCCCCACCTCCTTCTTCTTCTTTTTGTTAGAGATGGGGTCTTGCTATGTTGCTATTGACCAGGCTGATCTTGAACACTCCTGGCCTCAAGTGATCCTCTTACCTTTCCTCCCAAAGTGTTTGAATTACAGGCATGAACCACTGCACCTGGCCTTTTGTATTTTTATAGACAACAGAAATTAGAGAAAAATGGAGATGGAAGGAGAAATAAAACAACAACATCAAAAACTGAATAGTAGTTTTTAATCCATATCTCCCCATTCAAGGCAGATTAAATGAACAAAACTTCAGTAAAGAAAATAGAATATCTAAATGATGTATTCAGTATGGTAGTACTATAAGTACATATCAAGTTTTGAACTAATGCAATAGAATAGCTAAACGATATAATCAATGGGAGAGTGCATGTATATATATGTATATATTTAATATATTGGCTTATATAATATATATTCCAACAAAAATCTCCCTTTTAGTATAAAGTAAACAGTTTTAAAAAGTGACTACATTAAAATAAACTTTATTAAATTTCAAGAAACAGAAATAATTCAAACAGCATTCTCTAAACACAGTGCAATAAAACTAGACACTAAGTTTTATAATACCAAAAAAGAAAACACATCCAAAAATGCTTTCTTACCTACAATTAAAAAAAACTCTCTTAATAAAAAAGTGAACACATTACCTATAATAATATATTAGATAAAATTATAAAGATATCAGGAAAATTTTTAGATCAAATTTCTTCACTGACTATATATGCCTCTGTGTGTGTAGACATATACATACATACATACACACACACATTCTTCAAAAAGCAAGAAAAAAGAAAAAGTAAACCAAAATAAAGCAAAAAATAAGAATTTATGAAGTCAAAAATTAGAAACTAATAAATATAAAACAAAAATAGAAAAATGCATAAATCAAAAAGCTTGGGTATTGTTTATGGTAGCAATGTAGACAAATCATTAGCTATATGGATTAAAGTACATGTAAGGAGCACAAATACAGATATTTAGAGTAATAACCATTAGAGGAAATTTTTAAAATCATAAAAGACTACCTTATTTCAGTGGTTTTTAAACAAAAGCAATTTTACTCTCTTACCCTCATCTGAGAACACTTACGAATGTCTGGGATCTTCTAGGAAGAGGAAGGAATGCTGCTACCCTCCTTCCATACACAGGTAGTCCCCTAAAACAAAGACTTACCAAGCCCAGTGTGTGAAAAGTGCTGAGGTCAAAAAACTGCTTGGCATAATGATATGCAAATAAATTTGAAAATTGAATATTTCAATAATGTTCTAAGAAAATTGATTTATAAGATTTTACTTCATTAGAGATAGGAGATAAAGTCCAAATTTTTCTTACTTATTTAGCAATATCAAAATTCTTAGTAAATAAAGTAAGACATGATAAAGCAATGACATAAAACTTGGAAAATAACAAAAAAAAATTTCCAGAAGACATAATTATTTAGAAAATCTAAAATAATAAATTTAAAAATAAATAACTTTTTCTAACAATGGAAAATTTTATAAATATCAAGATACATTTCAATACAAAAATTAATAGCATTTATATAATAGCCATTTTGGAGAAAAATAAATGTGTAGATGCCATTAAAACAAAAAAAAGCAACAAATACTTAAGCATTAAGTTTAAAAGAAATATACAAAACCTAGATGAGGGACTCTATAAAGCACTTTTAAATATTTAAAAAGATATAAACAAATACATACACATCATATTTTTGAAAAGGAAGACTTAAAATCACAAATATATCAGTATTCCATAGGTTTATTTATAAATTTAATACAACCCAAATAAAAAAATCATCAGGTTACCTTCAACCCCCTAGCCAGCCAGTCAAGTTGATTATGAAATGAAGATAAAAATAAAAATGAAGTATAACCATTAAAACCCTATAAATAAAACAAAATGGCAGGACAAGCATTATGAGCTACTAAAACACATTATATAGATAGTATAACTTTAAAAGTGTGATGATATTTCAATCGGAAGATAAAAAATGAAACAGAATAGACATCCAGAAATGTACCTAAGTTCATATGAAAATTTAGAGTAAAAAATGATGGCATGTCAAATAATTGAGGAAAAAGGATTTTTTAAGTAGACTTGTCTGGAGGCTGAGGCGGAAGGATCACTTGAGCTCCAGAGATCCAGGCTGCAACGAGCCAAGATTGCACCACTGCATTTCATCCTGGGCAACAGAGCAAGACCCTATATCTTTAAAAAATAATAATAATAAATGAACTTGGGACAATATAAAGCTTTTGGGAAAAAGATAAAGGTGGTTCTATTCCCCACATTGTATATTCAGAGACATTTCAAGAGGGTCAGAGATCTAAAGGTAAAACATAAAATCATATACATGCTAGAAAAAAGTATCATGAATTACTTACATATATATGTGTATATATTTACCCAAAGAATATTAAGTATGTTATTAAAAATATAATTATGGCTAAACATATAAAAGAAAATAATTAATACATTTGACTACATAAAAATATAGTTTAAAATGCCCTACTGAAGAATACTTCCAGAAAGGCAAAATAAAAAAGAAGAATCTCTGAAATTTCATCTCTCCATAAAAGCAGTTGGGACAATAGCAAAAATTGTCAAAATAAATTTAAGGAACTCAAGAAAAAATTGTGAATTTCAGGAAAAGCAAAGAGCTTTCTGACATTTTAATGTGCTCTGTCCTCATCCTCCTATCTTCAGCTTCACGGAAGGTTTGAAAACCAGCAGCATTAGAACTATGGTAGCTAAGGAAAATCGGCTGTCTAACAACCACTGGAGTAGGAAGAATGGATTTTAAGCTCCCTAAAAAGCCCTATCTTCACAGACTATCACTGTTTGAACTGTTTGGAAGCTTCCTGGATAAATTCCATTCTCACGGTTAGTCAATAATCTGACCTGACTCAGGTCTTGTTCAGTGGAAAAAGCCCTACCATCACAGCATTTGTTGAAAATAAGTATGGCATTTGCTTAGTGTTAACAGCTCCTTGAGGTAGTGACACCATTTGGGACAACAAGAAGCTGGCCACAAATTTTAAAATGAAGATACGTGTAATGAAATATCCATGGGGGCTTTGAAAAGCTTCAGTATATTCTAGGGGGCCTAGAAGATTATGCACATGTACACAACTCTGTAAACACCCAAAAAAAGACCTGAAAAGGCCCTGCTGTATAATCTCTAGCTGACCTTGAGGACCAATGTAAACACAAACTAAAGATGAAAACAAAGTTTTAAACTGTTAGATGGTTGAAAATATGCCCAACACATACTCCTACCCTTTGCTGAAAGTCCCTCGGCCAAGAATAGGCAACATATTTATTCAAGACATTTAAAGAAATCTCAGCAAATAATAGGCAACATATTGATTCAATAAATTTTTAAAATCTCAGTGTCTGCCCATGAAACACACACACACACACACACACACACACACACACACACACACACAGATTTTACAGAATCGGTCAAGGAAAGTGTTCCATAGACAACAGCAACAGAAGCAGCAACAACAATAAATATGAAAAACAATAAAGCCTGGAGGTAGTGGAAACATTTCTGGAGTTACCACATTATATTATTTAAAATGTCAAATATTCAACAGCAAGTTTAAGATACATGAACAGAAAATTATGGCCCATACAGAGGAAAAAACTAGTCAATAGAAATTGTCCTTAAGGAAACCAGTATGGTTCATTTTGGACTTACCAAAGACTCTAAATTATTACAAAATGTTTAAAAATCATGTCTAAAGAAATTTTTTAAAGTATGAGGACTATGTCACACCAAATGGCCTGATATTATTAAAAATAAATAAATACATATTATAAAATTGAAAAATACAATAACTGAAATGGAAAATTCACTAAAGGGCTCAGTAGCAGATTATGGATTATAGATTTTAAAAACTCAGCAAACCTGAATATAGGTCAAAGTCTTAATTATTAATATTTTAAAGTATAATTTAAATATAATTAAATCTCAATTGAGATTTTAACCTATATTCAAGTTTGCTTTGTTGAGTCCAAGCAACAGAAAGAAAAAAAAAGAATTAAGAAAATTGAATGAAGTCTCAGAAGCCTATGAGACACTATCAAGCATAACAACTATGCATAATGGGAGTCCCAAAGGAAAGGAGAGAGAAGGAAGCAGAAAGAATATTTCCCCAAAAAAGTGACTAAAAGTATTATAAATTTAATGAAAAAAATTAGTCTGTAAATGCAAAGAACTCAACAAATTGCACATGAGATCCATACCAAAACACATCATAGAAAAACAGTCAAAAGCCAGTTATAGAGAGTGAGTCTTGAATGCAGCAGAAAAAAGAAAAAAACAAAACCTTACTTATCACATATAGGGACTTTTAATAAAATTAAAAGATGGCTTCTCAGAAGAAACCATGGATGACTGGAGTCAGTGGGATGACATAGTCTGTGTTCTGAAAGAAAGAATGGCAAACAAGAATATTGTGTCCAGAAAAACTATCTTTCAAAAATGAAGAAGAAATTAAAATAGTCCCAGATGAACAAAAACAGAATTTGTCACTAGCAGACCTGCTTTGTAAGAAATACAAAAACTAGTTCTTTAGTATTCTCTGAAGTGAAAGTTACTACACAGTAACTGGAATCCACAGAAATAGAGTACTGGCCGGGTGCGGTGGCTCATGCTTGTAATCCCAGCACTTTGCAAGGCCGAGGTGGGCGGATTATGAGGTCAGGAGATGGAGACCATCCTGGCTAACACGGTGAAACCTCATCTCTACTAAAAATACAAAAAATTAGCTGGGCGTGGTGGCGGGCATCTGTAGCCCCAGCTACTTGGGAGGCTGAGGCAGGAGAATGGCGTGAACCCAGGAGGCGGAGCTTGCAGTGAGCCGAGATCGCGCCACTGCACTCCAGCCTGGGCGACAGAGTGAGACTCCGTCTCAAAAAAAAAAAAAAAAAAGAAAGAAAGAGTACTGAAAAGGCAAATATAAAAACCAGTACAAATGTATTTTCATCTATATAATTTAAAAACCAACTACATAAAACAATAATTATAAAACTTTATTGATAGGCTTATCATGTGTAAATATGATTTAGATATATTCTTACACGGTAAGAACTTTTCATAAATTTTTATAAAATCATTACACAAAGGATGGGGGAGAGAACAGAGCTATACCGGAGTTCAGTTCTGGTAATATTGAAGTTAAGTTATTATTATCCAAATGAGATTGTTTGAAATTAAGATGGTAATTAAATTCTGTAAGGGAACTACTAAACAAACAGTTTTTAAAATATATTGTAAAAGAAACAATAAGGGATTTAAAATGCTACTAGAATAATGTCTATTTAACAAAAAGAAGGCAGTAATGAAGAAATAGAAAAATAAGACAAAAGACATGTAGAAAAAACTAATATGATTGATAGACATAATCTCTATCTTTTGTAATTATATTGAACATTAAAAGATAAATATTTTATTCAAAAGACAGAAATAGGCTTAATGAGATTTTTAAAAAAGCATTATGCAACTTTGTACTGTCCACAAAAAGATGTACTTTACATTCAAAGACAAAAATAAGTTGAAAGTAAAAGATGAAAGTAATATACAAACTGAAAACAAAGAGAACTAGAGTGGTTATACTAACATCAGACAAATTAGAATGTAATATATATATTATAAGGGACAAAAAAAGATACTACATTTTGCTAAAAAGGTCAATCTACCAAGAGAGCATGTCAATGACAAATATATATGCACCTAGGAGTCCCAACATACATAAAGCTAAAACTGATGCAATTAGAGAAATAGCCAATTAAACAATAATAGTAGAAGATATTAAATAATAATAGAAGATATTAAAATACCATTTTCAATCCTAGATAGTTTATCCTTACCATAAGGAAACAGAGTACTTCAAAAGCAGTATAAACCACCTGGACCTTACAGCCATGTGTAGAACATTCTATCCCAAAAATCAGACTAGACATTCACGTACACATGGAACATTCTTCAGGATAGACTACATATTGGGCCATAAAGCAAACTTTATTCATTAAATTTAGAAATAGTGTATATACAGAGTATTTTCTGACTATAATGATATGAAATTACAAATCAATAATTAAAGGAAGTTTGGAATATGTGAATATTAAACAGTCATTCCTAAATAAAAAATGGATCTAAGAAAAAGTAACATGGGAAATGAGAAAATATTGTGAATGAATGAAAACAAAACCACAACATACCAAAACTTATGGGATGCAGAAAAAGTAGTGCTCACGGGGAAATTTATAGCTGTGAACACGTACATTAAAGAAAGTTTTCAAATCAATAACCTACTTCCAGTTTAAGAACTAAAAATATAAAAGCAAACTAAACTCAAAGTTAGCAGAAAGAAGGACATAATAAAGAATATAGCAGAATTAAATTTTAAAAAGAATAGAGAAAATTTTAAAAAACAAAAGTTGGTTCTGTGGAAGGCTTAAGAAAATTTTCAATGTTTAGCTAAACTGATGAGAAAAATCAGTGAAATTCAAATTGCTAAAATCAAGTATAAAAGAGAGGATGTTAATAATGACCTTATAGAAATAAAAATAATTTTTAGAGAATACTATGGGAAATTGCATGTCAACAAATTAGACAACTTTGATATATAGATCAATTCCTAGGAAGACAAAAATTACCCAAACTAACTCAAGAAGGAATAGAAAAATTATCTATAACAAGTAAAAATATTGAATTAATAATTTAAATACTTTCCATAAATAAAAGCCAGAGTCCAGTTGATTCACAGATAAATTCTACCAAATGCTTAAAGAAGAATTAATATCATTCTTTCTAAAAATTTTCAAACAATAAAATAACGGGTCATTCTAATTCATTCTAACGCATCATGCTGATCTCTATCTTCACATGGTGTTCCCTATGTGTGTCTGTCACTGTGTCTGAATTTCCTTTTTGTAAGGACACAGTCATATTAGATTAGGGCCCACCATAATGACTTCATTTAATCTGATTTCAACATCTTTTAGGGGGACACATTCGGCCCATAACATTAGATACTCACTTGACTATAAAAATCTAAAAGTTTATTGTAAATAGTTTCAAAGTCCATTTTTCAGAGACAAGTCCATATTTAAAGAGTAGGGCACACTGCATTTTATTGCTGCTGTGCTTGCATCTAGCATTCACAGTAGTAAACAGATTGGTAAATCAGTTTGTGACAACCTGCTAAGTCTTTCTTCTTGATTTTCTAATCAGGTACCCTATTTTATAACAGATTCCAAGCTAATCAAGGTCACAGCCGGTGAAACTTTTAATGGAATTTCACTAGCATAAACTCAAGTACACTAAAATCTTTAGGCAGAAATGGCCATATTAACATTACATTTTCATGAGTGCATGTTTTACCCTGAGTATGAAATGTACACATAAGCACCCCAGAAGTTACTGTGGCTGAATATGTCTACTCATAAGTTAGCTGAATAATGAGTAACTTCAGAATTTAGGTGATTAAAATTCATGTGGATATTTGCTTCAATCTGGAGCCATTTATTACAATACTAAGTAGGTTCACTTATGTTTAAAAAGAAAACTTATCTTTCCAGCTTTCCAAATAGGGATAGAAAAAGTATTTTGTCAAATGTTCATGAAAAGCTTACTCTTTAATCATTCTGAGATATCCTTATTTAACTCTTATGTAGTAAATCCATGAAGTTCCCCATTTCAGAAGTTATTATAGGAATATGGCATTAATCTCCCATTCCTCCAACCAACATCTCCAGCAAGAAATGCTTAACTTGCACTGGAAATGTGGATGGGCAAATATACAAATCTGAAAAAAAAATTCTTTCAATTTGAATATTGATAATTGGCTGTAGCTTATTAGTGGGTACGCATTTATGGTATTATCATTATAATGCAAAGAGAAGAGAAATTATTCTTTTAAAATCTACTGCATTGCCCCAAAGATAACAAAATCCAGGAGAAAGCTGAAATTTTTAAAAAGTTCTTAACCTTAGTTATCTAGGAAAACTCATTGTATTTGATTTTTATGAGTTCAAGTATTTCCTGATTCTATTCCTAAACCATTCCTCTATGAGTGTGTCTAGTAAGAAATTATCTTTTCTAAATTAGAATGTTAAAAAATATTCCCAATGTGTAGTCATGCTGGGCATGGAAATGTTCATTATTCTTATGGAAAATTTTCTCATACCAACTAGAACATTTTCGTTTTCTTACTAACGTTTCTTTGCCCCCCCTACCCCCAAAAGCTCCCAGTATTTAGAAGAATAATGTAATACTGAAGCTGGAACTTGCATAAAAATTATCTGTCACAGTATTTCTGTTCCATCAGGAAGTGTTCGCTCATTGTATAGACAAAATCCATTTCCAGCTAATGTCTATTGATTTAGCCAGGATATTTGACCACCCTTCCATTATTTTTAAATGGGGAGTGAGAGTGCAAAAGCAAACTATAAAAATGTAAGCTCATATTTATTCACTCTAATAATGAGAAAAAGATCAGAGAAACCCAAATTGAGAGGCATTATACAAAATATGTAACCAGGACTCTTCAAAACTGTCAGAGTCATGAAAAACAAGGAGAGGTTAATAAACTATTAATAAGCGAACTAAAAAGACATGATGACTAACATAAAGGGACATACTGGATTGGATCTCTGAGCAAAAGAAAAAGGATATTAGTGAAAAAAAGAATGAAATCCAAATGAAGTCTTTAGTTAATATTATTGTACCAATGCTAATGTCTTAGTTCCGACAAGCGTATCATGGTCATATACAACGTTAACATAGTGGAAATTGGATGAAGCTTATATGAAAACTGTGTACTATTTCTGCAACTTTCTAGAAATCTAAAAATATCCCAAATAAAAACTTAAAAAAAAAAAGAAGTCCACACTCAAAGTTTCTTCAGAATCCTAAGAATGCCATTACTTTTCTTTTGCTCTAGATATTCCCATAAAATGTATCAGGTTGTTGCAGATCAAACCGATGGACAGAAGATGGGATAATGAGCAAAGGTAAGTGTTCAATCTTGTTTCTACTCTGCCCAAAAATGATACACTTATTTTTAGGCCTTTACTCTTATAACAATATGTTATTTTTCATAGAAAAGAGGAGATAAAAATTCTAGATAGCTCAAAACTATCATTATTCCTAAAAAATAACAAAAGTAAAATGCAAGCACTACTGATAGTAGGCTTGGAATGTCATCTGTACATGGAAAACACAGCATCCATTCATAATATGAGAAACAACACGTTGGGAGAAATTTTAAAATACAATTCCCGAAAGGACAGAAAAAAATCCCAAAACACTGGGAACAAATGCATGAGCACATAACAGGATAGACCATCTTTATTTTTCACAATTATCTAACGTAAGATTATTATTACCAAGAATTATGAGAAGATGACAGCAATGGTTTTGTTTTTGAATCTTCCAGAATACCCACACATTTTTAAGTTAACAACCAGATTGTAAAACTAAAAAACCATGGACAACATTTGCAACAAAATTTGGTGACAATATCCTCATGAACACCAAACTGCAAGTGGGTGAGACAAACTACCAATAGTGACAAGACTTGTGTCATATTGGAATCTGCTCAGATGAAAGCAAAGGGAAGAAACAAGGAGGAATGAATCTGAGAAAAAGGGAAACAGGAGGGAGGGGGAACCTCTATCGTTGAAGGAGACGTAAAAGAAATATCAAAAACCCCAAACTGGCAAGACTAAATTATAGTACTCAGAAATAGATATTTGTGTGATAAAACCATAAAGAAACATATGGGAGTGATTACATGTGGATCAGCAGAGGGCTTACTTTGAGAGAAAGACAACGGGGCAGGGAGAGGAGTTGGGGTGGCTGGTAAACAGAATACAATCTGGGTGACAGAGAGACTTAAGGTATAATTTATTTTGTGTGGTTTTTTATCTATGTTTTATTTTACAGTAGAAATGTTTAAAATTTAATTCCTATTGATCTCTGTTTAATTTAAAAAATAAAATTTATAGAATATAAATGATGGCTATTTTTTTGGTCCTGCCTATCTCCAGATTTTAGGAGTTGTGACATAAAAAACAAGACCCACTGTGTTAAAAAGGTATGTGCAATGTTACATAGATAGATAAGAACAGGCACAAACCTTGTTTCCAGTTCTTGCTTCAGGGCTTTTCCCCCTGCCCCATGTTTCTCCTCACTACAACCTTACCTTGATAGGCAAAGAAAGATTTTTCTGCTGGCTGGTAGGTGAAACTGCCTCCAAGTTCAGGAGAAACACACCAGGCAGGAAAATACCAAGGGCGGTCACTCACCACTGATCACACTGGCACACTGGAAAACCCAGAGGGGTATTCTAATTCTGCAGAGCTCAAATCAGCTTCACAGACTAATAGAAAATGTGTGGCTGTTTTAGTCTATGTAATCTCTGAAGCAGTACTGTACTATTTGTGCAAAATGGCAACTTTGCAGAGAAAGCTATTTCCACAGGTCAGTAGGGGAAAGGAAATATATAAATAGTCATCAGGGAAAACATGAGTGAAATAGGAAGTGAATGAGAAAATGCTAGATGGTTGCAGTTTAGTAGCTCTAAAATTTATTTTTAATTTATTTTTATTTTTATTAAGGTTTTGGTAAAAGACTAATCCCAACCCCCTAATGTGGTGATTTGCATTAGTCTCCAGATTCTCTGTAATAATGCACAGATGCTCAATTTCTTCTGTCTTTTCTGAAAATACCTGTCCTTTGGAATTTATCAACTTTCCTATATCCCTCTGTTTGTATACCAAGAAGAGTACATGATGATTTCTATGGTAACCCTTGAAAATCCACTCTGAGCCAGTCGATTATACACTTCTACCAAAGCATAAACACTTGTGTGGAGTAAACTGTTATATTTCTTAAATAGCCTATGTTACCTTGCACTATTATTGGAAATTAGAAGGTGCCTCATAAATTTCTACTAGTTTTATTTCAGTAAATATTTAGGAAAAAGTGGACATCAAGAAATACTAAGACTAGAGCAATAACCCTTCTTTCCTGAGACAACTCCTGGTGGTTCCATTCACATAAAGAACTAAATGGTTTCCACCAGAAGGTGCACAAGGGCCTGCTCCTGGTTGCCTTCAGCTATCCCCACCTCCTAGAATAAATCAGCAGGTATGCATCAGTCACTTCAGCCTGGATCCTGATTCTCACTGCCATCCGAGTGCCTTCATTTCTAAACAAAACTTGTCTTTCCTATCCTAAAAGGCTTCATTTCTGTTCATTGCATAAACATTTTTTTTTCATTTCTTTGGTGTAATTTTCTATCTCTTTTTTCTTGTAAACCTTGGCAGATTAAATATGTTTTATGTGGTTTATTTGATGCCTCTCACACTTTTAGCACTGCCTCTTACTGTCTTGACCCAAACTTGCAGTAACTCACACATAAACTTTTGCAGACTTGCAGTAACTCACACATAAACTTTTGTAATTATGTTCTCAAGTACCCCTGCCTCCATCATCCCATCAAACCCCAGGACTTCCCAAATCATTCCGCACAAAGTTGCCAAATTAATGGTCTGAAAATGTTTCAGTGTTACATTCTAATCTTGCTAGAATATGAAAGTGGTTCCCACCAAAGTCTTTGTAACTATGGAATATTTTAGATTTTAGAGTCTTCCATTGTTTACCTACAAATTGCCTTTTCACGTTTATTCTCTAGTACTCCCTTTTTCAATCTATCTGGTTCGTCACACTAATTTTCTCGTGGTCTCCAGGCACACTCTAGTCATTCTTATCTTTGCCCATGCCCCTTTTCTGCATCTCTGCTTATCAAAAGCTTTATCTTCTTAGTATTCTACAATGCAAGGTAGTCTATGTTAACCTCCTGGTTCAATGGGAAGTATGTTTCATGATTCATTGAAAGTACAGAGCAAAGACTAGTATCTTGCTTAAATGTGGACATTTAAAAATTTAAGTTTTTCTTTTCCATGGATGAATAAAAGGCTTTTTCCTACCAGATTTATTCTAGATAAATAATATAATTTACTTTTTTACAATTACCTAGAAATCTTGGGTGAGTATTATAGACAGGAAACATATAGCTTTGGAAACATATAGTCTCTTATCTGTGACTTAGTCCTCAGTTAATTGAAGCTGAAGAAGTCATCCTATATGGATAAAAACGATAAAGTAAAACATGGAGAAAAGCAATGATTTGTTTAACTCAGCTACTTAAATCATTGCCATTGGAATCCATTCCTATAGATAGCCTTCAAGAAATAATATTCCCACATAGTCTACAATAATCAGTTGGATTATAGTAATTCCTAAACCTAATTTTTGATGTCCTGAAAACTTTTTAAAATGTATCTCTTCAGCTATTTGAGTCAATTCATAAACTACCTGTCATGACTTTAAAAACTCTTCTCAGGTATGTATATATTCACCAATATGAATATTTATTTGAATGTGTGTAACACATTCAAAGTAAAAGTGGGCATATATTCACAAACCATATATTTATGAGAATTGCAAGAGTGTAAAAAGTAATTTTCTCCTTCTTAAAGAAACTATTCTGAAGGAACCAGAGCATAAAACAGACCCAGAAGTGTGAGCATCAAATTCAGTAACTACCATCAATGGGCTATTGGCTATTTTCTTATCCAAAGTATTCACATAATAGTTTGACCAAAATGGTTGTTCTTAGTTTCATGGGGATCAAGAATACCTTTGAGAATCTATTGGAAATTAAGAGTCTTTCTGCCCAGGACATAGTAGGCCTTCGCTTATGCAACATTTACATGAAATTTCTGAGAATTACTGGAATTAGCTTAAAATTGTCTTCTCTATTTTTTATTCTGCTATCTTATGACTAATAGTGATATATTCAGGTTAACCATGATGGCAGGAGTTCTATTCCCTAACAATGTAAATTAATTAGGACTTAGAGCCACTCAAATTGTCATATTTATCTTTTAAAAAAGGCAATTAGATCCTAGAAAATTGACCTCTGTGATCTACTCCTTTCCCCAATTGTATTTAGTGATTCACCAACCATTGTTAATGGTAACCAGAAATAGCACTGAAGACTGCAAAATGAGAAAAAAAACAGAAGTTATTCTGAATATAAGCTAAGTATATTAAGGCCATGTTTTCTTTGCAACATAATGAGATTTGATGTATACTCATTGAGAGAATACACTAACAAGAAACACGAACCCACTAGGTGGCATGATAGCAAATGTCACTATTGAAGGTCAGAAAAAAATAGATTATATTACCCAGTGTTAAGTATCTATTACTTTTGAATAAATAATGCTGTTCCTGACGTTTTGGAAGATAAAATAAGTATACAGGAAGATAAAACTATCACTAAGTCTAACAATAAAAAATGTAAAAAGAATATAAAAATGCAAACAATATATCCAATGGAAGCTGGCTTACCATAGAGACAAAAGTCTAATGCCAGTTAGTCATATTTTGCAGACATGTAATGAAATGTCAGCAAAATAGATTAATGGTCCTCATTACAAAAATAGCATTAAAAGAGGATTGAGAAAGAAGATATGCTAGTGATTAAAGTAAAAGCACAATTAAAATGGCAAATGAGTCAGGACATAACATAAAAAAGCTCTGAAGAGGGGCAATGATTGAAAATTATGTTAAGCCCCTCACCACTCATTATAAAAATGTTCTTGGTAATGAGTAAAGATTAGAAAAGCTAAATTAAAAAGAGTCAAAATTTTACAAACCACACACAAGTCTCTTTAAATAGAAGTCTTAAAAATGCACAGATTAGATATACAACCGTGTTAACTCATCATCATTAATAGATAATTGAATGTTTGCAGAAAAAAATTGAGGGAAGGAAAAGGAAGGAAGAAGAGTTCAATTCAGTAAAAGGTTATTAAAATCTACCTTATTTTCACCAATGCTCTAGACAGGAGTATCATGCCTAACTTATTCCTGACTGTCCTTATGCCTAGCATAGTGGTGGCCTTAAGTGTGTCCTTAATAATTCAGTGAATGAATGCACAAGTAAAAGGAGTTTAACAAAATGAAAAACTATGGACTGTGCTCTCAAGTTGTTTACAGCCTTGGCATCAGAGCACTTAAGGTAACACCCTGATAGATTTATTTGCACAGTCGGTGTCATTCCTATCTTTGACATTTTTCAAACTATGTGCTCATTTTTGTAAATCAGAGTTCTGAGCAGTTCAATTTTAGCTTTTCAGTTTTAAGTTGATTTCAAATTTTCTATTCAAATTTTTCAGAATGCTGATATACATATATATTTTATATAATCATTGATGAAGAAATATTAATTGTTAAATTGTCTTGCTTCTTGGATGCTGTGAATACCGCGTGGTCTTAGGCAGCTATCTACTCTTGCATCTAGGGATGTGCTCACATTTCAAGCAGAACCAGCACTAATTGCAAGGAAATAGCTACCTGAAATATTTTGACAAATTACTAGTGTTCTTAAAACTGCTTCTACTTTGGGTGATCAATAAATGAACACTGACTTGGTTGATTACTAGTGTTCAGAAAAATGTTGCTGCTTTGGGTGATCAACAAATGTACGTTGACAAGGATGTCCTACTAATCCATTATCTCCTGTCCAGAAACAGGATGATCTAAATGATTCTGATACCCACCTTCCCACGCTGAAAACCACTGGCTTACATGATGCCTAAAGTCCCTTCCTTGGAATGTGGGTTAAGAAGGTAGATATCCTAAAACTCAGTTTAGCATATTTTCCTTAATAACAAGGTTGTGATAGTTCCCAAAGTTTAGGACTTTCTAGATCAGTAAAACTCCAGAGAGAGAGGAGAGAGAGAAAGAGAGAGAGAGCGTGCGAGCAATCTTTATATTATATTCAAAACACCTGCAAAGGATTTAGGAAATATTACTTTAAAAAAAATAAGCTCAATCTTTTTAATAGCTTCTCATGAACAGGTTTAGAGCCCACAGAATAATGCAAATATTTATAAAGTAATTGCTAGGATCAAATGAGAAACATAATGGTAATCAAAACTGTATCTTTTGGTACCCAGATGCAGCACGTAACTACTGTGTCACTTCTCAGCTACAATGGCTCTGGGCCCTTGACTTGTTTGTTCATTTTTGTTTATGCTGATTCAAGTCCTCTGAAACTCTGAAACAAGGTAAATTGGAAAGGGACATAAGAAATGGGTAGAAATACATTATATTCAACAAAATTTTACTTATGTTCTCAGGTGTTATATTCAATATTTATAAGTTCTAGATCTTATTCTATTCTTTCTGGTAACAGAAAAAGAAACACATATGTAATTTATGTTTCTCATATGAAACAGTTTCCAGGTACAGAAGTATCATAACAATAACAAAATTAGATTATTTTGTTGCACATCCCAGTTTGGGGAATTTTAGCAGGGCTAACATTCTTCTAAACTAGCTCCAGAGGACTCTAAGGGCTACCTTCCAGGTGATCCTGGGCCTTCTAGTTGTCCCAGAACATCTAACATTTTCCTTTTTCTACTCCTGATGTTGCCTTTGTAGGAGACTAACCAAGAAGTTGCTATGCCTTTATCATTCTCACATTTCCTTTCTCTCTGTGATTCAAGACATATCCTGCTACTCCTCTATTCTACGTCTTAATTTATTGACTTATTTGAGGCAGAGCAAATGCCATCCACCTCTATTTATGTAAGTGGCTGAGAAAGCAACATTGCCCAGATCACTCAGATCTTAAGAACATACCAAAGATGTGGCTCTTTTAGTCTTCTCTGAAGTATCCTCACCTGAGGGCTCAGGAGTAGATCAGGGAGAGCTGGAATAGAAAGTAACCCAAATAGCACACTCTTGTAGTCAACATCAGTTCTCCTCTTGGCTAATGGTCTATTGTTCCAGGCCAAGCTTATATGTTTCCATTCTGGTTCAGAAGATGTTTCTTATAGAATTCTCATTCTTTCATAAAATAAATGACTAGGAGTTGTACCCTAAAAGTCTTCCAGGCATCCTTCGAATTTACAGTGAGTGTAGCTTCCTTCCTTTAATATATTTCAACATATTTCTTTCAACATATTTACTCCCTTGCATATACAGCTGACAGAAAAATAACACTGAAATAAGCCCATTGCCTAGCGATCCTCTAGATATTTAGATTACATAATTTACATCCACAATATTATCCTAGCTGGTTAATACCAGCTAAATCTAGAAAATTGAGCTCTGGTCCCATTCTAAATACTGATCTTCCATACATAATAAACAGAAAAAAAAACCATATAAACTTAACTATAAAGCAAAATAATAAGCTCGATTTCTAAGAAAAAAATCTATTTCTGACAAAAACTTACTGTAAATATAACTTAAATGCTCACAAGCATTTGGATAACCAATGTATCAATTTACAAAATAGCCCCTGGCTTGCATGAGATGAGATCGGATAAAGCACAGAGACAGATATTTTACAGAAGGGTCAGGAAATATTTTTTATTGCCAAACAACTTAAGAATCAGAAAACACTGATATGTTTCAGCAGTGTGTGAGGGGAAACATCAAATTGTTTTATTTCTGTGGCAGAAATGGCACAAGACGTCAGATTTATTATTGGACATCCCTAAAAATAAATAATATCACAAATTTCTGTAACAATTTGACAAGAAAGGAAGACAAAGCACAGTTTTAAGCTTATGACCCAATACCTCTCTGCTTTTATATATCAATTATTGTGATACAAGCTTGGTTTTGTGTGTCCTTTGAATAATGTTTTTAGAAACAAAAATATTTTAGAACAACTGTAGTATAAAAGATATTTCTCTTTTCCTCCGTCTTGTCTTCTTTCCTTTCTTCCTCCTTTTTTTCTAATTTTCCTTGGTTCTTCCCTTTCACCTTCCCTTTACTCTTTCCTTTTTTTCCTTTCTTGTTTCCATTTTTTCTACCTTATTAGAGAAAGAACACAAAAAATATGCAAAGGGGATCAGATTGCATAATTGAAAATGCAAGAAAGATAAAGGAAAAAAATAGATATAAGTTTCTGGCTCTGCATAAGAGTGAGTACACATGACCCTGTCTCTCCCAGTGGATGTGCAAACCAAAAAGTATGAGACGGGTCTCAATTGATTTAGAGGTTTATTTTGCCAAGATTGAGGAACTTCCTAGAAAAAAGGAACACAAAACTCATGCTTTTTCCAAAAAAGGATTTGGGGACTTCAGCATTTAAAGGGAAAAGAGTGGGCAGTAGGAGAAAGAAGAAAGAAAAAATGTGGGAGGGTAGATAAAAGAGTATAGGGTGACATTCTTCTGAGGCTTTGATCAACATACACTGAATCCATATTTTACAGGTGAAAGGGGGGCGGTAGAGGAATAGTTAACTAGATTTGTGCTCAGTGAATCTGCATTTTTACGTAAAATAAAGTAAACATACAGTAGATGAAGCAATCAGATATGCATTTGTCTCAGGTGAGCCTGATCAAGGGATGACTCTCAGTTCTTTCTTTGTCCTGTACCTGTGAAGATAAACTGTTAAACTATATTGTCAGGGTGAAATTTCAACAGAACTGTTTTAGGATAAAAATCTTGGAGCTCACAAGATATATCCTTGTGAGCAAATTAAGAGGGAGACCCTCTGAGGAGATATGTAGCCTTCTATCTTTGTAGCTATTTATTTAGGAACAAACTGGGAGGCAGTTTTGTGTGACTCAATTCCTAAGCTTAACTTTTCTCTTTGGCATAGTGGTTTGAGGTCCTGAGATTTTTATTTTACTTTCACAGATACAACCATAATAACCTTGAGATAATGCTTGAAGCAGTAAAGTGAGGACTGGAAAATAAATCATGGTAGGTGGATTGGTGAGGAGCAGAATTCTAGGTATCACAATACGTGTGGTGTGTGTAGTGTTGTCTTGTCTTGTCTTTTAATTCTTTTCTTTTCTTTTCTTTTCCTTTTCTTTTCTTTTCTAGTGTCCTGAGGCTTCCACTCAACACACGCTAAAACCTCAAAGCAGACATCAGTATCAACAGAGATCCTAGAGCAGCTTTTTAGAGCTGACTTGAGGAGAAGGTGAGGGGTCTCTTAATACTAATAGAGAGTGGGGGAAATCTCATTTATTTTTTTTTCCATTCTCTAGTGCCCCAGTCCCCAATCAATCTTTTGGTGGTAGCAGTAGTGGCAGCAGCAACAACAAAGATACACAGGTATGTAAAACAATAATGAAGGGAGTGGGTTCTTTCCTTCTGATTAAAACAACTATAATCCCAGGAGAGCAGCATGAAACCACATTTCCCGTGTTTCTCTCTTTCTTTCTCTTTCTTTGCCTACCTCACTCTTTCTCCTCAAATGCTTCTCTCCAGCAAAAAGGCCTTTCACACTAGATGAGTTCTGACTCAGCTTAAATACAGGCAGCATTGCAAATGGGGTTTTCCAGGGAACCACTAGACAGATCAAGTGATTATAATTTTCTCAGAAGGAGGCACTGAACTAGCTCAAGTTTGGTTCCTCTCCCTCCAGTGGCTTCCAGGCTGCTCGTTTTCACCATGAATATTGGCTGTTAGTATTTTAGGCTACTGAAAAATCTGAAAATGGGATGGAACTAGGGCTGGTTACAACACCACAAAGCTCATTTTGCAAAGATGCAATTATGCTGACTATAACAACAGGAGGCAGCCAAATGCCTAGGCAGATAGGTATGAGTATCTGGTGAAGCCCCACCTCCAAGCCAAAGAGAGTTTAAAGCCTGAAAGCCAAGCTACAAGTTAAATCCTTGGACCAGTTTGAGAACCTATCTTCCTGTTTGACGTGCTTTCCTCTGATTGATCCTCACCCTTCACCTATTTTACATATACCTACCCTTTCCTAATTAGTTTTCTATGCTGTCCTGCCCACCTTTGATTGGTGTCTTTGCTTTAACCTTTTGTGCATACTCACAAACCAATCAGCATGCATTCTCCATCCTGTGCTTATAAAGAACCCAGACTCATTCAGTAGAGGACGAGATGGCTTGACTTCAGGGAAGAGACAACCTGACTTCAGGGAAGATGACCTGCACTTTCCAACCCCTCTCCAGTTCCCCTCTCTGCTGACAGCCATTTTCATCACTCAATAAAATTCTCCACCTTTACTATCCTTCAATTGTCCACATGACTTCATTCTTCTTGAATGTGGGACAAGAACTTGGGACCCACTGAGTGCAAGTACTCAGAAAGGCTGTAACATCAGCCCTTTGCCCTTGTTGGAGGAAGGTAGCCACCCCACGTGACGCGGCAGCATTGAGCTGCTAAAGGAGCATCGTAACTCCCCCTCTAGGGCTTCAGGGTCACAGGCACCCTCACCTGGGCACTACTGCATTCCCCTCTAAGTGACACATCTAGTCTCGCTGTGGGCCCTGCATGGAGTTTGCTCCTATGTCAGCACCCAGAGAAGCTGGCCAGATCCTGCTGAGAAAAATCCTACATCACCGATGCAACCAGTTTTCTTGAACAGATTCTGCCTAAATTGTTACAAGCTTTTGGCTAATTTCTAAAGTTCTGATCAGGTTGAATTTTATTATATTTGCAAGTTTTTGTTGTTGCTTTTATGGAGGAAGAAATTTTTAGACATCCTTCCCTAACCATTTTCACTAACATCACGTAACTAAAGATTTATATCTGCCGTATAATTTAATGTTTTTATTTACTACAATTTGTCTTTTTTCTTTTTTCCCTTTCTCTCTTCCTTCTCCTTTTCCTTCTCTTCCTCTTTTTCTTTTCTAATTTCTGTTGCTCAGATTGAAATCTCTTCCAATAGCTCAAAATTTACATATGATTTTTTTTCTTCTGGTGGTTACCCCTAATTTACCAAGAATCCACAATGGGACACTGTTTTTCTGCCCTTTTTCTAAAAGTTTTAAATGTTCATTTCTTTCTCACAAAAAAATGACAAATGTAACACAACTATATCAAACTATTCTTGTCAGCTGACTCCTGTCCCCAGATATTCTCATATAATGTTGTTCACCTGGTGGGACACTAACACTGACTACCTGATTAAAACTATGCCTATGTAGTCACATGCATCACTGAAAGCTCTAGCCTAAGCCATCCTCTTTGACGTTCTTTCCCACCACCCTCTTCTTTACTCATGGCACTTGATCACATTAATATTCCAATCTGATGGTGAAACACATTTAGTTCTTTACTCCCTCATGATTTTTACACTTCTTTTTCTTTTTTTCTTCTTCTGTACTTAAATATTTTTCACTATACCACTGTTGTCTTACTACATGGTTCTGTTACCTATTTTAATCCTGAGGTCTGACAGTGTTTTTGGAAGGTGGAAATTTCTCCATTCATTACACTTAGGTAATAGCACCATGTAAACCATAAGATGTTCCATGAGATATAACTGAGCTCTGTGGGTTTAGTTACATCCTGCATGAAATAGACTATTTCATAGTTACTTTGCTTAAAAGATTATTGTTATCAACATCATGTTTTCAATAAATTTTTGCTTAAAATTAAAATAATATATTTAATTTGCTCTGTATCACCAAGATGAATGTCTTATCATATAATAAATCTGATTTCAGCCTCCTAAAATTGGAATAAACATTTTTATGACTTTTCTCCTTAAAATTCTATAAGAAACTGAAGCATGTATCTTTTTGGGATACAACTTGGTTTTAAATTCCAGACAATATAGATTATTTTCCTCTATTCATGTTTTAAAACTTGATTATGAAACTAGAACAAATGCAGCTGACTGATATAGTCCTCTCTTGACAAATGCACACAAACAATAATTAACCTGAACGAGAGATATATAGCTACATCCAGAGAAGATAATTCTTTCTATATATCAGAGAAATACAAATCCTTCATTATTTAGAGTCATCTCTCTATTTTTTTAAGATCCTGAAAACATTAATTGTAAACACTAATGGGAATTACTAGAATGCTCCTAGATACAGAATAAGTTCCAAATTTAGTCTTAGCAGCTGTAAGCAATCATCTAACCGAATTACCTGGAGGAAAATGGAAACAGGGCAGATGCTGGCCAATTACCATAAACTAATTGTAGCAGGGCACCTGGTATGGAAAGAAGAGTAAAGCTTTTATTAGGCTGGAAAAAAGAAGCTATTATTTGGGGGAAATTCAAGCTGTTTCTGTCTACCAGGGGGGAAACTAAAATTTGCCTTCAGGAAAGACTCTCGTATTCTAAAAGGGCCCTTATAGTAATGCAAGCAAGTACCTACTTATTATTTTGGGGGAACTTTCATATACAGTGGAGAAGTCTAAATATGGATGCTCCCGAATGAGCTTAATAATATGAACTGAAAATCTTTGACAGAACTGTGACACATTAGAGTTATAGGTTTGTTTTTTCAAACATGGATTATAACTTCCAATTACATTGAAATTATGACTTGTTCTTGATAGGTCTGTGATTTTTGTCCAAGAGAATTATTCACAAGAGATCAGAAATACAGATAGTGGAAGGAAATATAAAATATACTTGCCTTGACACTGAAGAGTCTAATTGCAATGTTGTCATTAAAGGCTGAATAACTTGTATCTGTGAAATGTACCTCAGTGATTATTCTGTCTGGGTCATTGGGAACTATCTCACAGTGATGGATGAGGTATAAGTTTCTCTGAGAAAGAACAGATATTTTATTGTCAGTCATCCTCAGAAAAGTTTGATTATAGGGCAGAAATAAAGTGAACATTGAAGTAAGAGAGAAATTAATTTCTTTTTTGTTATTGCTGCCTGGGAACATTTTAGCCAATACTCTTGGATGTAGACACATTGGAAGCATTCCTGACTGTTAGAGTTTGCTGACCCTCAACTGAAAGCAAAATAAGAACAGAAAGGGATGTAAACTCTTAAAGTATTCCAAGGTCAGTGTATGAGTACATTTTCACTCTGCTGATAAAGACATACCCAAGACTGGGCAATTTACAAAAGAAAGAGGTTTAATGGACTTACAGTTCCACATGGTTGGGAACTGTAAGTTAACAATTATGGCAGAAGGCAAGGAGGAGCAAGTCACATCTTACATGAATGGCAGCAGGCAAAAAAAGAGCTTGTGTAGAGAAACTCCCATTTTTAAAACCATCAGATCTAATGAGACCCATTCACTATCATGAGAACAGCACAGGAAAGACCCACACCCATGATTCAATCATCCCTCTGGGACCCTCCCACAACATATGAGAATTATGGGAGCTAAAAGATGAGATTTGGGTTGGGACACAGAGTCAAACCATATCATTCCACTCCTGGCCCAAATCATATATCTTATATCTTCACATTTTAATCTTATATTTTATATCCTCACATTTCAAAACCAATCATGCCTTCACAACAGTCCCTCAAAGTCTTCACTCATTTTAGGATTAACTCAAAAGTCCACAGTCCAAAGTCTCATCGAGACAAGGCAAGTCCCTTCTGCCTATGAGACTGTAAAATCAAAAGCAAGTTAGTTACTTCCTAGTTAAAATGGGGGTACAGGCATTGGGTAAATACAGCCATACCAAATTGGAGAAATTGGCCAAAATGAAGAGGTTACAGGCCCCATGCAAGTCCATAATCCAGCAGGTTAGTCAAATCTTAAAGCTCCAAAATGATCTCCTTTGATACCATTTTCCACTTCCAGGTCACACTGATGTAGGAGATGGGCTCCCACGGTCTTGGGCAGCACTGCCCCTTTGGTTTTGCAGGGTGTACCCCCTCCAGGCTGCTTTCACAGGCTAGCATTGAGTGTCTGCGGCTTTTCCAGACACATAGTGCAAAGTTGTCAGTGGATCTGCCATTCTGGGGTCTAGAGGATGGTGGCCCTCTTCTCACAGCTCTACTAGGTGGTGCCCCAGGGGCTCCCACCCTGTATTTCCCTTCTGCATTGCCCTAGCATAGGTTCTCCATGACAGCCTCGCCCCTACAGCAAACTTCTGCCCAGGCATTCAGGTGTTTCTATACATCTGAAATATATGGGGTGGTAACAACACCTCAACTCTTGGCTTCTGTGCACTTGCAGGCTCAATACCACGTGGAAGCTGCCAAGACTTGAGGCTTGCATCCTCTGAAGCCATGGCCTGAGCTCTACATTGTCCCCTTTCAGTCATGGCTGGAGCAGCTGGAACTCAGGGCACCGAGTCCCTAGGCTGCACATAGTACAAGGAACCTAGGCCGGGACCACAAAACCACTTTTTCTTCCCCTGGGCCTGTGATGGGAGGGGCATGCCGCAGAGGTCTCTGACATGCCCTGGAGACATTTTTCTCATTGTCTTGGTGATTAGCGTTCAATCCTCATTAATTATTGTGAATTTTTGCAGCCAGCTTGAATTTCTCTTCAGAAAATGGGATTTTCTTTTCTATTGTATTGTCAGGCTGCAAATTTTCCAAACTTTTATGTTCTCCTTCCCTTATAAAACTGAATGCCTTTATCAGCACCCAAGTCACCTTTGGAATGCTCTGCTGCTTAGAAATTTCTTCCACCAGATACCCTAAATCATCTTTCTCAAGTTCAAAGTTCCACAGATCTCTAAGGCAAGGACAAAATACTCCCAGTTTCTTTGCTAATACATAACAAGAATCACCTTTGGTCCAGTTCCCAACAATTTCTGCATTTCCATCTGAGACCACCTCAGCCTGGACATTATTGTCCATATTGCTATCAGCATTTTGGTCAAAGCCATTCCACAAGTCTCTAGGAAGTTCCACACTTTCTCACATTTTCCTGCGTTCCTCTGAGCCCTCCAAAATGTTTCCACCTCTGCCTGTTACCCAGTTTCAAAGTCACTTCCACATTTTCGGGTATCTTTTCAGCAGCACTCCACTCTGCTGGCACCAATTTACTGTATTAGTTTGTTTTCATGCTGCTGATAAAGACATACCCAAGACTGGGCAATTTATAAAAGAAAAGTTTATTGGATTTACAGTTCCATGTGGCTGGGGAGGCCTTACAATTATGGCAGAAGGCAAGCAGGAGCAAATCACATCTTACGTGGATGGAAGCAGGCAAAAAGAGAGCTTGTGCAGAGAAATTCCCATTTTTAAAACCATCAGATCTTGTGAGACCCATTCACTATCACAAGAACAGAATGGGAAAGACCTGCCCCCATGATTCAATCATCTCCCTCTGGGTCCCTCCCACAACATGTGGGAATTATGGGAGCTACAAGATGAGATTTGGATGGGTACACAGAGTCAAACCATATCAGTCAGGTTTGGCCAAGAGGGCCTAAACATTCCCCTCAGCTTGGCTAAACCTTAGACAGGCTTCTTCCTAACTCTAAGTCACTCTTCTCCCTTTTCTTAGAGCATTTTCTTTAGAAAATTTGTGATTGCCAATTCTTTTTCTGCCTCTTTGTGATATAAATCTTCTTAAAAGTCTCTGACCAGTTTTGTAACAAAGTCTTTCATAGGTCCTTGAGAGCCGTTCCTTTGAAATGTAATCATCAAGAGAGAGAGCCCCACTTTCTACCAGTTAGTGTGGGAGAATAGAAACCTGACTTAGATTAGCTCCTTGCTCATGGTTTTACAAGAACCTTCTGTCATGAAGATGAGAAAAAAAGTTTACTTTTCCTTTGGGTAAGGTCAGTTAGCAAACACAGATAGCCAGTGATCCTTTTCAGTCCCAGACACACGCACACACACACACACACACACACACACACACACTCCTCTTCTACCATGTCTTTCTGTGGAGTTGAGCTCAGACTGAGCTCTGGTGTTTCTATTCTATTGCAATAGCCTTGAAGAAAGTCTTCCTTACTTGTGTAACTTTGTCCACTGCAATTTTTGCTTTTGACACAGATATTTGAAGAGGCAGGGATTTATAAAAGTGCCTACCAGTGCCAAAAACACCTTTTATCCAAAATTAACAAAACAGAAATTGTTTCCCATTTTGCGGGGTTATTCTTCCTCTATCCTTGATTGAATAAACAATTTTGTCTGTTATTATTAATTTCCTTTCTTTGTAACTGAGGGAGGTAATTTATAAAATAGGTCCATGTTTAGTAGTATAAGAGGGGTATATGAATTTTGCTAATTCAGGGGGCATACCTATAGTTTGATCATGCCTAAAATTTTCTTAGTAATGTCTTTTCATTTTGTAGTATGTAAGTAGTTAAAGGCATGATAGATTTAATTTTTAATTTCATATACTACTCTTATGTGTCTTTGATTATTTTCAGCAAGACATGATATTCTCTATATTTTTAAAAACTGAGATACAGAAATTTTAAACATTAGGAGGCTCAATGAAATTGCATCATTAAAAATATTTATATTTTTAATAAAGAGCAAAAGAATGCTGCATTTGTTATTTTGTTTGCAAATATAGTAGAAAAGTACAACATACTAATTTATTTCAGAGAAAATATCTTACAATAGGATTTCAAGTTTGATGACTGAGTATTTAACTCCTCTCTACTGATATATGTATAGAAAAAACATAAATTTAAGAGTATAGCATAAGGTGTTAAATAAGATGTAACCTGAATATTGTGGGAACCATATGTGAAAAACATTTGACAAAAACTGGAAGAAGAGAAGACATAGGAAGAGTGGACATAACAAATAGACAAATTTGTTCAGTGTGAACACAGATGGTCAAATTAAAAGAAATGAGTTTAAGTTATAGGGAAACAGATGGCAGCTCAATCAAGGAAGAAGAAAGGAAGACGAAGAAATTTTTAACAGAATTGTCCAAAAATGGAAAAGGCAGTCTCGAATGTTAGCAAATTTTCATACATTTGCTAATGAATTTGACAGAGGTAAAGGTGTTCAAGCAAAGTCTGTATCGCTGCTTATGGAGAAGATTCAAACATTCTGGGTAAGAGAGTGTTAAACTTACGTTAGCCTTCTAACAACCTCTCAGGCAGTGTTACCCATGCTCATTTGTGCAATTGCCCTGAAACCTTTTCTCCCTGTCTTGGAGACAGTGATGAAAGATCTTTGGGCCTTGCGTTTCATCTGAGAAAGAAGAAATAGACTTGGGCAATTTAAATGGCAACAGATTTACCATCTCCCTTCTGTGCTCTCAACTGCATAATTTCATGTCTCTTGTGATATTTTCCATTCCTTTTCTAATTAAGGAGTGCCCTGAAAATGAATTAGTGCAGTACCCATAGTTTGGCAATTAATCTAAAGAATAATTTAGATTATTCTTTTTAAATAGAATAAGTAGATATCAATTCCCATATGAGCTGCAAGTGGCATGTGCTACCTTTAGAAATGACTATTGGTCATACATAAGCCCAGTATATTTGATTGTCAGGTTCACCCAAACCTGATCCTTAGACATGACCCACGTATCCTGTTGTGTTCCTCACTCATCACTCTCTATTGCAGTTCTCTTCCTTTCCTTTCCTTTCCTTTCTGTTCTTCTCTTTTCACCCTTTTACAAGTTCATACTTTATACCAAGAAAAATATATAAGAAACATATTTCTTCCTACATAATATTCCATTTCTGGCTCATTTTCTCCTTCTCTATTTATGCTTCTTCACAATTCCTTATAGCTTTTCCTATACTGGATCTTATTTCCTTTCTTTCTACTTTCTATTCTTGAACACTTACTACAACCTTTTAGATACTTAAGGCTAGAAAGTGAAATAAAACATGGCTTCATCTCCCAGGAAGATCACAGTGCCTTTTTATTTTCTCTGTCTCCCTTCTGTGAAGAAATAGTTCAAAAAGTTTAGGATGTGAAGAAGCAAGCCTACGAGTAGCAAGGTCTGGGCTGACATTCTAGTACAACAAGCAGTGATTAGCCCCATGCCTGCCCTATAAAATAATTACTGTTTTTCATGAGAATCATCATTGTGTCTTTCCTCAGAGAAGTAAGTTCCATGTTGAAAGTACAAGATAATACATTCTGTGCTTAATTAAAAAATTATTTTAGGGTATAGCAGATATGTTAACTTACTGCCTGCCCTGTTCTTAACTTTTAGATCTTTTTAAGATGACATTTATTTATTAAAATCACTAAGCTTCTTTTTCACTAACATGGTGGATAGCAGCTTTTAGCATGCATCAGCCACTTATAAACAGAAAAATGTGCAGAAAAATTAACTCTGAGAGTTTTACTTCAAGAAAGAAGACTGGAATTATTCACCAGAATAGCAAAGGACAACCAGACCTAGAGAGGAGAAGGTGGGCAAACAGTCCCTATGACAACATTTGGGTAACAGAAGTAAGTGAAACACCAGTATGTGAGAGGGGCAGTCAGTCTCTCTCTGTGAATCACCTATCCACTAAGAATCTGTGCAACCCAAGCAAAGGGAGAGCACCCTATTTCTCTCAAGCCCTGGAGCTAACTTGGGGAGAGGTGAAAAGATGGAAAGACCCTGGGGAAAGCTGCAGGCATTTTCCTAGACTCAGGAACAAGAGGAGGATTCCCTTTTTAATCTGGCCTCATACAACATCAGTCATTGTTTGGCGATCTGACAGTGGCAGCTAAGCAGGCATTTTAATTTCAAGCCAGAGACTACAGAAAGCACGTGTAGGCACAGGCCTCATGAACTCTATTAAACAATTCCACAATCAAAGCTACAAAGTAAGTAGCTAGCAAACCTGCAACAGGGACAAAGCCTCACATATCAATATTATCGTTGAATGTAAATGGCCTAAATGCTCCACTTAAAAGACAGAACGACAAATTAGATGCAAATATAGGACCTTTCCTTCTGTTGTTTTTGTGACCCATCTCACATGTAATGACACTCATAGGCTCAAAGTAAAGGGATGGAGAAAGACTGTCACTCAAATGGAAAGCCAAAAAGAGCAAGGGCTGCTATTCTTGTATCAGATAAAACAGACTTTAAACCAACAAAAGTGAAAAAGAACAAAGAAGGACATTACATAATAATAAATGATTCAATTCAACAAGGTTGAAATATCCTAAATTTACACACACCCAAAATTAAAGCACTTGGATTTTAAAAAATAATAGTAATTGCTTGTAGACCTGAGAAAAGACTTAGATATCCACACAATAGTAGTGGTGGATTTCAACATCCCACTGACAGCATTAGAGAGATCATCAAGGCAGAAAACTAACAGAAATTCTGGACTTAAATTTGACATTTGATTGGACCTAATAGACATGTAGAGAATACTCCACCCAACAACCACAAAATATACATTATTCTTATCTGCACGTGGAATGTACTCCAAGATTGGCCACATGATTGGTCATAAAGCCTTGATAAATTCAAAAAAATCAAAATCATACGAAGCATCTTCTTGGATCACAGTGAAATAAAAATAGAAATCAATACTAAAAGGAATTCTCAAAACCACAAAAATACATGGAAACTAAGCAACTTGCCCTTGAGTGGCTTTTGGGTAAGGAATGAAATTAAGGCAAAAAAAAAAAAATTTGAAACAAAAGAAAGCGGAGACATAACACACCAAAACCTCTAGGATACGGAAAAAGCAGTGTTACGTGGAAAGTTTATAGCACAAAACACTTATATCAACAAGATAGAAAAATCTCAAATTAACAACCTAACCTGAAGTTAATAGAACGAAAATAGAAAAGAAAGTGGAAAAAACAAAAACAACCCAATCTGAAAGCAAGAAGAAGAAAAAAATAACTAAAATCAGAGCAAAATAAAATGAATTTGAGATTAAAAAACATACCAAAACATACATAAATGAAATGAGAAGGTGGCTCTTTGAAATGATAAACAAAATTGACAGACCACTAAATAGATTGACAAAGAGAAAAAAAGAAGATCCAAATAAGCATAACCATAAATGATAAAGATGACATCACATCCCATCACACAGAAATACAAAAGATCCTCAGAGACTACTATGAACATATCCATGCACACAAACTAGAAGCTCTAGGGGAAACGGACAACTCCTAGAAACACACAACCTCCCAAGATTGAACCAGGAAGATATAGAAAGCCTGAACAGACTAATAACAAGTAATGAAATGGAATTAGTAATTAAAAAAACCTACCAACCAGAAAAGCCATTGACCAGATGATCATAGCCAAATTTTATTAGACATTAAAAAAAATAGAAAATCCAGCAGTGCAAAAAAATATAATTCATCAAAATCAAATGGGCTTTATTCCAGGGATGCAAAGATTGTTCAACATATGCAAATCAATAAATGTGACTCACCACATAAATATAATTAAAAACAAAACTCATATGATTATCTCAATACATGAGGAAAAAGCATTCAGTAAAACTCAAAATTCCTTCGTGATAAAAATCCTCAACAAACTGGGCATCAAAGGAACATAACCCAAAGTAATAAGAGCCATTTATGACAAAGCTATGGAAAACATTATACAGAACAAGCAAAAGTTGGGAACATTCCTTTTAAGAACTGGAACAATACAAGAATGTCCACTCTCACCACTCACATACAATGTAGTGCTGGAAGTCCTAGCCAGAGCAATCAGGCAAGAGAAAGAAACAAAAGGCATGCAAAGAGGAAAAGAAGAAGTCAAATGATCTCTCTTCTCTGATATTATTATATGCCTAGAAAATCCTGAAGATTCTGCCAGAAGCCTCCTAGACCTGGATAAATGACTTCAGCAATGTCTCAGTATGCAAAATCAACATACACAAAGAAATAGCATTTCTATACACCAATAACATTAACACTGAAAGCAAATCAAGAACACAACCTCATTAACAAGAGCCACAAAAGAAACTAAATAAATAAAATACCTAGGAATATGTCTAATCAAGGAGGTGAAAGATCTCTACAAAAAGAACTACAAAACACTGATGAAAGAAATTATAGACAATAAAAAAAAATGGAAAAACATTCCATACTCATGGATTGGAAGAATCAATATTGTTAAAATGGCTACACTGCCCAAAGCAATTTACAGATTCATCACTATTCCCATCAAATTATTTATGTTATTTTTCACAGAATTAGAAAAAAAAATTCTAAAATTCTCATGGAACCAAAAAAGAGCCCAAATAGTCAAAGCAACCCTAAGCAAAAAGAACAAAGCTAGAGGCATAGCTAACTTCAAGCTGTACTACAAAGCTACAGTAACCAAAATAGTGTGTTACTGGTACAAAAATAGGCACATAGATCAATGGAACAGAAAGAGAACGCTGAAATGAAGCCACACACCTACAACCAACTGATCTTTGAGAATGGCAACAAAATAATAAATGGTGCTAGGAAAACAATGCTGAAGAATAAAGCTGGACCCCATATACAAAAATTATCTCAAAATGGATGAAATGCTTAAATGTAAGCCCTCCAACTTTAAAAATCCCAGAAGAAAACCAAGAAAATACACTTGTGGGCATTGACCTAGGCAAAGAATTTATGACTAAGTTCTCAAAAGCAAATGCAACAAAAACAAAAATTGACAAATTGGAACCTAATTAAACTAAAGAGCTTTTCCACAGCAAAGGAAACTATCAACAGAGTAAACAGAAAACCTAGAGAAGGGGAGAAAATATTTGCAAGCTAGGCGTCCAACAAAAGAATAATATACAGAATCTCTAGGAACTTAAAAAAATTTTAAAAATGACTCCATTAAAATGTAGATGAAGAACATGAACGGACACTTTATAAAAGAAGACATATAAGTGACAAATAAACATATGAAAAAAACTAATCATCAGAGAGATGTAAATCAAAATCACAATAATATACCATCTCTCAACAGTCAGAATGACTATTATTAAAAGTCAAATAAGCAACGAACGTTGGCAAGGTTGTGGAGAAAAAAGAATGCTTCAGACTATTGGTAGGAATGTAAATTAGTTCGGCCACATTGGAAAGCAGTTTGAAAATTTCTCAAAGAACTAAAAAAAAAAAAAAAAAAAAAAAAAAACCACTTGACCCAGAAATTCCATTACTGGCTATATACCCAAAGGAAAATAAGTAATTCCACCATTCGCAATAGCAAAGGCATGAAATCAACCCACATGCTCATCAATAATGAGTTGGATTTAAAAAAGTGGCACATATGCACCATAGAATACTATGCCAGCCATAAAAAAGAAAAGAAAATCATGTCCTTTGTGGCATCATGGATTCAGCTGGAGGCCATTACCCTACAGAAAACCAAATACTGCACATTCTCACTTATAAGTGGGAGCTAAACATTGGTCAATCATGGGCATAATACGGGAACGAAAGGGATAAGAAAAAAGGGGGGTATGGGTTGAAAAACTACCTATTGGGTACTATATTTGTTTTTTTTGTTTTTTTTTTTTTTTTGAGATGGAGTGTCACTCTTTGGCCCAGGCTGGAGTGCAGTGGCGCAATCTTGGCTCACTGCGAGCTCCGCCTCCTGGGTTCAAGCCATTCTCCTGCCTCAGCCTCCCAAGTAGCTGGAACTACAGGCGCTCGCCACCACGCCCGGCTAATTTTTTGTATTTTTAGTAGAGACAGGGTTTCACCATGTTAGCCAAGATGGTCTCGATCTCCGGACTCCATGATCCGCCCACCTCGGCCTCCCAAAGTGCTGGGATTACAGGTGTGAGCCACTGCACCCGGCCAATATTTGTTATTTGTTAGCATGATCAATAGAAGCCCAAACCTCAGCATCATGCAACATACCCATGCAATAAATCTGCAAATGTACCACATGAATCTAAATTACAAAAATAATTAAAAAATTAACAATTGCTAAGCAAGGTAGTTAAACTATTTTTATCCCATACCAAAGAAATAATTACATTGTTAGACATAACCTTGAGCAAAAAGACAAGTGTTAAACTGCCCTGGTTTTCTAGCAAAATGGAGGGTAAATAAAATCCCAAGACAGGGTTAAAGCTCATTAGGGAAAAACCTTCACTTTTATTAACTCTAGTATTTGTCATTTTCCTAGTAATGAAATATTTTGTTTATCTTCCACATTCAAAACTCACAAATTATAATGTGTCTTACTCTCCAACTTTTTGGGTTTCCATTCCCTTTTCTTCATTCCAATTTATGTACTAAATTATCTTCACTGTCTCAGTTCTCTACATAATCGTTTGCATTACTAAGAAATCTAAAGTGATGCCAGTGCTGGAATATTTCATTCTAAGCACAAAATATTCAATGATTAGTTGAGATATACAATTATAGGTCAAAATCCCTTACAATATTTATATACTATTACTTCAACCCAGCAAATATTTATTGATCATTTTAATAACTGTCTCACACTGTGCCAGTCCAAGGTAATACAATAGAGAGCAAAAATAGACATTATTTCACTTGCAGCCTAATTAGGAAACAGACATTAAATACTTGCAACATAAAATTCAACTAGAGAAAGAGCTATGTGAATTTACAGTAGGAAAATTGGACTTAGGAAGGTTTTCCTAAGGAAGTTATGCTTGAATTTAGAGCCCAAAGATGATTATGGGTTACACAGGGCCAGAAGAAAAGAAAAGAATTTTCTAGTATGAGGCTCCATCACACTGCACACTAAATAAAGTCTTCCACCAACCCACCTAGAGCTCTGGAGCAAAGATTATTTATTAAAGAAGTCCTGTATTGATAGAAATGGTAAGACTCCTATACCACCTCCTTATTCAGTATTAGCCAAAGGCTGCTCCCAAGAAGGGTGGCCCATGGCCCCAAAACTGAAGTAGATTCTAAAAATGTAAACATCTAGAGGAATGACATCAGCAAAATTGAAAAATATTAGTTGTCTACCATCATCTGTCCACAGTGCACCAATTTTGAAAATTACTCATAGACAAGGGAAAAAAAAACCTGCCTGCCACCCAAGAATGCTATCCCTAGCAAGAATATCCTTCAAAAATAAAGGAGAGAGAATGAATTTCCTAAACAAACAAGGTGAGGAAGATCATCACCATTACACCTGCCTTACAGAAAATGCTAGAAGTTCTTCAAGTTGTAGTGAAAGGGCACTAAATAACAACATGAAAACATATAAAAGTATACAACTTACTGTAAAGGTAAAAACTTAGTCAAATTCAGAATATTTAATCCTATAACGGTTGTACATAAATCACTTTTTAACCTAGTATAAAGGTTAAAAACATGAACTATTAAAAATAACTATAGCAATAGTATTTTGTTAATGTATACCCAATATAAAAAGAAGGAAATTCTGACATCAAAAACACAAAATGGACAGGAATAGAAATGCAGAGTTTTTTTTATGAGATTGAAGTTAATTTATCAGTTCAAAGTAGACTGTTACAACTATATGAAGTTTTCTGAAAATCACATGTTAAAAACAAAGCAAAAAGTAGATACAAAAATAATATTGAGAAAGAAATCAAAGCATACGACTACAAACAATTATCAAAGTACAAAGGAAGACAGAAGTTGAGGAGGAAAGGAACACAGAAACTATGAAGCAGTTGGAAAACAATAAACAAAATGACAATGCTGTCATTACCTATTAATCATTACTTTAAATGTAAATGGACTAAATTCTTCAATCAAAAAACATAGAGTAGCAAAAAAGATTAAAAAACAAGACCCAACTATATGTTGCTTATAAATGACTCATTTAGCTTTAAGGACTCACATTAGCTGAAAGTAAAGGTAAGGTAAAAGATATTAGATGCAAATGAAAACCAGGGGTAGCTATACTTATAACAAACAAAATAGATGTTAAGTCAAAAACTGTAGCAAGAGCCGAAAAAGATTATTATGTAATGTTTGAGTGGTCAATTTACCAAGATAATAAAACAATTGTAAATATATATATTTACATATATATGCATCCATAAATGCATCCACATATATATACACCTAGACATCATATATACCTATGTGTGTATACACACATATATATGTATATATTATACATATAGGTATATATTGTATAGACTATATATACACACACCCATATATACATACATGGAGATATATATACACACCCACACATCATATACATATATGATGGATGCATATATATGCATATATGTGTGGGCATATATATATGATGCATGTGTGTATATGCGCTCATCACTGAAGCACCTAAATATAAATAACAAATATTAATATATGTGAAGAAAAAGATGGAACAGCAACACAATATTAGTAGGGAATTTCAGTACCCTACATTAAACAATGGAAAGATCTTTGAGACAGAAAATCAATAAAGGAACAGCACACTTGAATGATTCTATACACCAATGAATCTAACAGACATACACAGAACATTTCATCCAGTAGCAGAAGCATACACATTCTTATCAACCACACACAGAACGTTCTGCTGTATACATCATATGTTAGGCCACAAAACAAGTCTTAACATATTTAAGAAAATAGAAATTACATCAAATATCTTTTCTGACCACAGTGGTATGAAACGGGACATTTTTAAAAGTAGGAAACTGGAAAAATTACATATGCATAAAAATTAAACTCCTGAAAAACCATTGTGTCAAAGAAGAGGTCAAAAAATACTTTGAGACACATGAATATAGAAACATGAGATACCAAAACTGATGGAATGCAGCAAAAGCAGTTATAAGAGGAAAATTTATAGTAATAAACACCTAAGTTAAAAAAATTAAACAATCTAGAAAAACAATGAAAAAGATCAACAGAAATAAGTTATTTTGTAATAAAGATAAACAAAATTGGCAAGCTTTTCGCTAAACCAATAAAAAAGAAGATCAAGTAAATATAACCGGAAATGAAAGAGAAGACATCACAACTGATACTGCAGAAATAAAAGGATTGTAGAGGACTACTATAGACAATTATATGAAAGCAAATTAGATAACTTAGAAGAAATAAATAAATTCCTAGACAGGTACAACCTAACAAGAGTGAATCATAAAAAAAAAGAAAATCTAAACAAACCAGTAATAAGTAAAAATATTGACTCAGTAATCAAATATCTCCAAACAAAAGAAAAGCCCAGGAAGAGTAGCTTTACAGCTGAATTCTACCAAACATTTAAAGAAAAACTAACACTAATATTTCTCAAATGTTTCCAAAAAATTGAAGAGGAGAGGACACTTTCCAACTCATTTATGAGGCTAGCATTACCCAAATACCAGAGCCAGTTGAGGATATTACAAGAAAATAAAATTACAGGTCAATAATTATGATAAATATGTATACAAAAATGCTTAGCAAAATACCATCAAACCAAATTCAACAACACATTGAAAGGATCATACACTGTGATCAAGTGGGATTTATTCCTGAGATACAAAGATGATTCAACATACAAAATCAATCAATGTGATATACCACATGAAGAGAATAAAGGACAAATCCATACAATAATCTCAATAGGTGCAAAAAAAAAGCATTTGACAAAATTTAACATTCTTTTATGTTTAAAAATAACGTTCAACAAATTAGGTAGAGAAGGAAAGCACCTCAACAAAATAAAGGCCATACAAGACCACAGATAACATCATATTCAACAATGAAAAGCTGAAAGCTTTCCTCTAAGGTCAAGAAGACGAAATGTCTGCTTTCACCATTTCTATTCAACATAGTATTAGCAGTTCTAGCAAAATAAATTAGGCAAGAAAAAGAAATAAAAGGCATTGAGATTGGAAAGAAAGAAGTTAAAGTGTCTTTCTTCGCTTGCAATATCATCATATATGTAGAAAATTTTAAAGAGTTCACCATGAAACGGTTAGATCTAATAAATGAATTCAGGAAAGTTATAGGATACAAAATCAAAATTAACATATAAAAATTAGTTTTACTTCTATACATTAACTGAATTATCTAAAAAAGAAATTAAGACAACAACCCCATTACAATAGCATCAGAAAGAATAAAATAATTAGGAATAAATTTAACCAAGTAGGTGAAAGAGTTGTACCCTTAAAAGAATGACGTATTGATAAAAATTGAAGACAGAAATAAATAGAAAGATAGCCCATATTCATAAATTAGAAGAATTAATATTAATAAAACATCCATACTACCCAAAGCAACCCACAGATGCATTGCAATCTCTATCAAAATTCCAATGGCATTTTTCACAGAAAAAATAAAAGAAAACATTTTAAAATTCACACAGAATTACAAATGACCCTGAATAGCCAAAGTAATCTTCTTCCTGATTTCAAAATATATTATAAAATTTCAGAAATTAAAAGAGTATGGTATTGGGAAAAAAAAAACAGATATATAGACCAATGAAACAGAATAGATAACCTAAAAATAAACCCACTGATCTACAAAAAGTGTGCCAAGAATCCCCAGTGAGGAAAAGCTAATTTCTTCAACAAATGGTAAATGGTGCTAGGTAATTGAATATCCATAAGCAAAAGAATAAATTGGACCCTTATCTTAAACCTTAAACAAAAATCAACTCAAAATGGCTTAAATACTTAAATGAAAGACACGAAACTTTGAAACTCTAAGAAGACATGGTGGAAAATCTAAATATCAGCCTTGGCAATGAGTTTTTGGATGTAACACCAAATGTGAAGGCAACAAAAGCAAAAATAACCAAGTGAAATTACATCAAACTAAAAAGTTTCTGCACAGCCAAAAAAGGAAACAGTAAACAAAATAAAGAGACCACCTTCAGAATGGGAGGAAATATTTGTAAACCATATATCTGATAAAGGATTAATATCCAAAATATATAAGGGACTTACACATCTCAAATACACAAAATCCAAAGAACCCAATTAGAAAATGGGCAGAGGACCTGAATTAGACTTTTTTTAAAGGAATACACACAAATGGCCAACAGGCATACGAAAGGGTGCACTAAGGCTCATTAATCATTAGGGAAATGCAAATCAGAACAACAATAAGATATCATGCCTCCTAGGAAGGATATTAGCAAAAAGTCAAAAGATAACAAGTATTTGCAAGGATGTGTAGAAAAAGGAACTCATACATGTAGGTGAAAATGTCAAGTGGTACAGCCATCATGGAAATCAGTACAGAGATTCCTCATAAATTAAAAATAGAATTACCATATGATCGAGAAATCTTATTTGGGTATATGTATCCAAAGTAAGGAAAATCACCATCTCAAAGAGATATCTGCACTCCCATGTTCATTGCAGCATTATTCACAATAACCAAGATATGTAAATAACCTATGTCCATTGATGAATGACTGGATAAAGAAAATGTGGTGTGTGTGTGTATATATATTTACTTTATAAAAAAGTAAAACAAATATATATATATATGAAAGACTACATATATATATATATGAATATTGTTGTACCTCAAAAAAAGGAGATCCTGCCATTTGCAACAACATGGATGAACCTGGAGGACATTATGCTAAGTGAAATAAATCAGACACAGAAGAATAAATACTGCATGATATCTACTTACATGTGGAATCTAAAAAAGTCTAACTCACTGAAACAGACAGTAAAATGATGGTTTCCAGAGGCTGGGAATTGAGGGAAATAAGGAGATGTTGGTCAAAGTGTACAAACATTCAGGTGTAAGATGAATAAGATCTGGAGATCTAATATACAGCATAGTGACTATAGTTATTAATAATTTATTATATACTTAAAATTTGCTAAAGTAGATATAAAGTGTTCTCACTACTCACCAAAAAATGTAATGTGAGGTAACAGATGTATTAATTAGCTTGACTGTGGTAAACATTTCATAGTATATATGTTTATCAAATAATCACATTGGACATATTAAATATACACAATTTTTACTTGTCAATCATGTATCAATAAATCCAGAAAAAAAATTTTTAAATGTTAACAGCTGGAGGCTATTAACCACACTCCTCATAGCTGGGCAAGGAGTCTGTTTCTAGAGGGATCTGGGCAGTATTTTTCCATGTCGACCCCAATCCCCAATAATATAAAACATAGAGAGTAGTAACAACATCTTAATAACATAATAGATGTCTGTATAAATAAAATCAAAGGTGTAAATCATTTTTAAATATCATATTTACTAGTAAGTAGAAAGGACTCAAGTCTCAGCTCGGGTCTACATGATGCCAAGGTCCATGCCCTTTCCACTGTTCAAATTCAACGCATGATGTCTCAGCACCTGTTTGCTTTCAGACTCAGTTCTAGACATGGAGGATATCACAGTGAACAAAATAAAAAAAGAGCCTGAAGCTAAATATCTAGTAGTTCAAGATAATGAAATAACTTACAGACATGTGTATAGAACCACCATTAGCAATAATCTAGAATCCATGAGGAATAACAGTGTAAGTTGCAGGTGTTATTTAACACCTGATATTTATCCCAATTTTCATAGATTAAAACATAAATGAAGTTAAATAAATAAGCTTGACATCTACTCATGAAACTATTTTAGAATGCATTTTAAAATGCATTCTAAATGGTAAAGAGCATAAGATAATAATTATTAAGTGAAAATAGTATTTTATTAAGGACAAATCATTTTTATTTACCCTATCAATTTCTTTTTTGGAACAGTAAAATATATGGGGAAAGTGTCTGCATTTCAGAAAAATATTAGAAAAGGATGTTTGTAATCTCTTGAAGAAGAGTAAATAAATGCTGAAAAATATTACACTCAACTAGGTTTACAACTGGTGATAACGCTGCTCTTCATATATATTTATTAATAGAAACTTGATCTACTTGTCAGAAGCTTTTCTGCTACAGGCTGAAAACATTTGTTACCAATCTTGCTCAATATCTTCATTCAAATAGTAATGATAAGTATAAGTTATGCTTACTACACAGGCAGGTGACACAGAGATGAGAGGAATGATTAGCCGAATCATCACAGAACAAAATAAAGCTTCAAAGTAAGCTCAGTGGACTGGAATAATAAGTCCCAAAGCATAGAATGAAGTAGGTTCTCCCATGGCAACCAATTTTCATTATGATGAATGGATAATATATGGATTGGCAAAATTCATGTGGGAAAAAAATTTGCCCTAGAAGTTTTAGTTAACCACAAGTATAAGCTAAGGCAACTTCGATATGAGCACTAAAGCACTGAATCTAAAGCTGCACTCTTAACAGTGTGATTGTGCCTTGGTGGTTGCATTTGGAAGAGATGATTCCCGTGTTCTTGAAAAGGACATTTCTGAGCTATAAAGCTCACAAAAACCCTCTTAAAGAAGGATTTACATATATCTCAGAGGGGCAAAGAAAGAATTTACAATTATAAATTTATAAAAGTAAATGTTTTAAAAAAGGAAAGAGAAACATCTTTCATCATTTTGAACAGGAAGAATTAAGCCCTTTTCATAAGTTTTTATTTGTCCTTACAGTTGATTACAAATGTATATAATACACTTTAATGTAATTTCCTCATTTTTTATATTTTCCTCCTTTCTTTTTAATTTCAATAGAAAAAAAATGATTCACCATTTACCCCCTTCTTACATTTCTTCACATTTTTTTCACATTTTTTCAAACCAAGGGTAGTTTTTCTTTGCGGGGTGGACGTAATACCCTGCTTTGAGGGAATAAGAAAGGACATCATCTCTTACTTTGCTAAAGAGTTCCTCTGGGCCCTAAGGTTTTTCCTCCACAGGGTTGTTCCTCCTTGCTGGGTGGCTACATGCAGTATAAAGGTATGGGTTATTAGGACTCTTTGACAGTATAGGATGCCAATGATAAACTGTTACAGAACAGGCTATACTATGAACATGTTTGCTTGATGTCATTGTTTTCTTCCTTAAGAGATTCAATGGACAGAAGCAGTAGTAGAGTGATAGTGAGTGACGAAAAAACCATGACTACGGGTTCAAGAAGCTTTCATAGGCTGGGCGCTATGGCTCACTCCTGTAATCCCAACACTTTGGGAGGTTGAGGTGAGGGGATTGCTTGAGTCCAGGAGTTTCAGACCAGCCTGGAAAACATAGCAAGACCTCGTTTCTTCAAAAAATAAAAATATTAGCTGGGCATGTTGTTGCATGCCTGTAGTCCTCACTACTCAAAAGGCTGAGACTGGAGAATTGCTTGAGTCCAGAAAGTTGAGGCTGCAATGAGCCACGATCGCACCATTGCACTCCAGCCTGGGTGATACAGAGATTATCTCTTTAAAAAAAAAAGTAAAATGAAAAAGAATCTTTCTTAGATCTGAAATAAAATTGCTGAAAGCTTTACGGGTTGTGTTTCTTTGTTAAAAAAAAAAAACGTATTTTGACAGAATATTTACTCTAACTTTGTTCTGAGCTTGCCCAGTAGACACCAATAAACTGACTATTTTTCTTATTAAGGAAAAATCTGCAGAGATTAAGGAACGCAGGGAATAACAGAGATAGGTTTAACACTGAAAAAAAAAGATGTACTGACATCAACATTTTTACATTTTAACAAAAATTTCTTTCTTAAAAATTTTTGTGGGTACATAGTAGGTTTATATATTTATGAGGTTCATGAGATGTTTTGATACAGGCATGCAATGCATAATAATCACATCATGGAGAATGGGGTGTCCACCCCCTCAAGCATTTATCCTTTATATGACAAACAATCCAATTACACTCTTTTAGATATTTTTAAATGTACAATTAAGTTATTATTGGCTATAATCACTCTGTTGTGCTATTAAATAACAAGTCTTATTCGTTCTAACTATATTTTTGTCTCATTAATCATCCCCAACTCCTCCCCACAGCCCCCTTGCTAGCCTCTGGTAACCATTCTTCTACTCTCTGTGTCTATGAGTTAAATTGTTTTGATTTTTTCAGTCCCACAAATAAGTGAGAATATGCAATGCTTGTCTTTCTGTGCCTGGATTATTTCACTTAACATAGTGATCTCCAGTTCCATTTATCTCATGCCAATGGCAGAATTTCTTTCTTTTTATGGCTGAATAGTACTCCTTTGAGTATATGTTCCACATTTTCCCTATCCATGTATCTGTTGATGGACACAGGCTGCTTCCAGTTTTTAGCTATCATGAACAGTGCTGCAACAAACATGGAAGAGCAGATATCTCTTTGATAGGTTAATTTTCTTTTTGGGGGGTATGTACCCAGCAGTGGAATTGGTGGATTATATGGTAGCTCTATTTTTAGTTTTTTGAGGAACTTCCAAACTGCTCTCCATAGTGATTGCACAAATTTATATTCCCACCAACAGTCAGTATACAAGGGTTCCTCTTTCTCCACATCCTTGCCAGCATTTGTTATTGCCTGTCTAACGGATATAAACCATCTTAACTGAGATAACATGATATGTCATTGTAGTTTTAATTTGCATTGCTCTGATGATCAATAATGTTGAGCACATTTTCAGATGCCTATTTGCTATTTGTATGTCTTCTTTTAAGAAATGCTTATTCAAATCTTTTGCCTATTTTTTATTGGATTATTAGATTTTTTTCCTATAGAGTTATTTGAGTTCCTTATTTATTCTGGTTATTAATCCCTTGTCAGATGGGTGGTTTTCAAACATTTTCTCCCATTCTGTGGATTGTCTTCACTTTGTTGATTGTTTCCTTCAGCTGTGCAGAAGCCTTTTGTTTGTCTGTTTGTTTGTTTTTGAGACGGAGTCTCATTCTGTCACCCAGGCTTGCAACCTCCACCTCCCTGGCTCAAGTGATTTTCCCACCTCAGCCTTCCAAGTAGCTGGGATTACAGACACCTGCCATCATGCCTGGCTAATTTTTGTATATTTGTAGAGACGAGTCTTCACCATGTTAGTCAGGCTGGTCTTGAACTCCTGAACTCAGGTGATCTGCCCACTTTGGCCTCCCTCGGTGCTGGGATTACAGGTGTGAGCCACCACATCCTGCCTGTGCAGAAGCTTTTTAACTTGATGTGATCCCATCTGTCCATTTTTACTTTGGTTACCTGTGCTTTTGGGGTATTGCTCAAGAAATTTTTGCTCAGGCCAATGTCTTAGGAAGTTTCCCCAATGTTTTCTTCTAGAAGCTTCATAGATTGATGTCTTAAAGATTTTTTTTTTTTTTTTTTTTTTGAGACGGAGTCTCCCTTTGTCGCCCAGGCCGGACTGTGGACTGCAGTGGCGCAATCTCGGCTCACTGCAAGCTCCGCTTCCCGGGTTCACGCCATTCTCCTGCCTCAGCCTCCCGAGTAGCTGGGACTACAGGCACCCGCCACTGCGCCCGGCTAATTTTTTTGTATTTTTAGTAGAGACGGGGTTTCACCTTGTTAGCCAGGATGGTCTCGATCTCCTGACCTCATGATCCACCCACCTCAGCCTCCCAAAGTGCTGGGATTACAGGCGTGAGCCACCGCGCCCGGCCGATGTCTTAAAGTTTTTAATCCATTTTGATTTGATTTTTATACATGACGAGAGATAAGGGTCTAGTTTCATTCTTCTTCATATGGATATCCAGTTTTCCCTGCACAATTTATTGAAGAGACTGTCTTTTCCTCAGTGTATGTTCTTGTCGCCTTTGTCAAAAATGAATTCACTATAGGTGTGTGGATTTGTTTCTGGGTTCTCTGTTCTGTTCCATTGAGCTATATGTTTTCATGCCAGTACCATGCTGTTTTGGTTACTGTGGCTCTGTATTATAATTTGAAGTCAGGTAATGGGATACCTCCAGTTTTGATGTTTTTGTTTATGATAGCTTTAGCTATTCTGGGTCTTTTGTGGTTCCATATAAATTTTAGGATTCTTTTTTCTATTTCTATGAAAAATGTCATTGGTATTTTGACAGTGTGTGGGCTTATTTCAACATTTTTTTTAAGTTCCCAGATGAATGTGCAGGTTTGTTACACAGGTATACAAGTGCCATGGTTTGCTGCACCTATCAATCTGTCATCTAGGTTTTAAGCCCCACATACATTAGATATTTGTCCTAATGTTCTCACTTCCATTGCCCCCTCAACCCCCAACAGGCCCAGTATGTGATGTTCCCCTCCCTGTGTCTATGTGTTCTCATTGTTCAGCTCCCACTTATGAGTGAGAACATGTGGTGTTTGGTTTTCTGTTCCTGTGTTAGTTTGCTGAAAATGATGGCTTCCCACTTCATCCATGTCCTTGCAAAGGATATGAACTCATCCTTTTTCATGGCTGCATGTATTCCATGGTGTATATGTGTCACATTTTCTTTATCCAGTCTATCATTGATGGGCATTTGGGTTGGTTCCAAGTCTTTGCTATTATAAATAGTGCTGAAATAAACATACATGTGCATGTGTCTTTACAGTAGAATAATCCTTTGGGTATACACCCAGTAATGGGATTGCTGGGTCAAATGGTATTTCTGGTTCTAGATCCTTGAGGAATCACCACACTGTCTTCCACATGGTTGAACTAATTTACACTTCCACCAACAGTGTAAAATCATTCCTATTTCTCCACGGCCTCAGAAGCATCTATTGTTTCCTGACTTTTTAATGATCGACATTCTAACTGAAGTGAGATGTTATCTCATTGTGGTTTTGATTTGCATTTCTCTAATGATTAGTGATGATGAGCTTTTTTCCATGTTTCTTGGCCACATAAATGTCCGTATAGCCAAGACAATCCTAAACAAAAAGAACAAAGCTAGCAGCTTCATGCTACCTGCCTTTAAACTATACTACAAGTCTACAGTAACCAAAACAACATGGTATTAGCACCAAAACAGGTATATAGACCAATGCAACAGAACAGAGACCTCAGAAATATCACCACACATCTACAACCATCTGATCTTTGACATATATGACAAAAACAAGCAATGGGGAAAGGAATTCCTATTTAATAAATAGTGCTGGGAAACTGGCTAGCCACATGCAGAAAACTGAAACTGGACCTCTTCCTTACACCTTATACAAAAATTAACTCAAAATGGATTAAAAACTTAAATGTAAAACCCAAAACCATAAAAACCCTAGAAGAAACCCTAGGCAATACCATTCAGGGCATAGGCATGGACAAAGACTTCATGACTAAAACACCAAAAGCGATTGCAACAAAAGCCAAAATTGACAAGTAGGATCTAATTAAACTAAAGATCTTCTGCACAGCAAAAGAAACTATCATCACAGTGAGCCAGCAACCTACAGAATGAGAGAAAATTTTTGCAATCTACCCATCTGACAAAGCTCTAATATGCAGAATCTACAAGGAACTTAAACAAATTTACAAGAAAAAACAACCCCATCAAAAAGTAGGCAAAAGATATGAACAGACAATTCTCAATATTTCCAATTTTTGAATGTTTTAAGACTTGTTTTGTGCCCTAGTATATAGTCTATTTTTGAGAATGATGTATTTGCTGAAGGAAAGTATATGTATTCTGTAGCCATTGGATGAAGTGTTCTGTAAACATCTATTTGATCCATTTGGTCTATAGTGCAGATTAAATCTCATGTTTCTTTGTTGATTTTTTGTCTGGAAGATCTATCCAATGCTTTAAGTGAAGTGTTGGAGTCTCCAGCTATTATTATATTGGGACCAGTCTCTCTCGTTGGGTCTGATAATATTTGTTTTATATACCTGGGTGCTCCAGTGTTTAGTGCATATATATTTAAAATGTTATATCCTCTTGTTTAACTGACCCCTTTATCATTATATAGTGACCTTCTTTGTCTCTTTTTATAGTTTTTGTCTTGAAATCTATTTTGCCTAATATAAGTATAGCTACTCCAACTCTTTTTTGATTTCCATTGGCATGGAATATATTTTTCCACCACTGTATTTTCAGTGTATGTGTGTCTTTATAGGTGAAATATGTCTCTTGTAGGCAACAGATTAAAGGGTCTTGTTTTTTCATCCATTCAGCCACTCTGTGTCTTTTCATTGGAGAGTTTAGTCCATTTACATCCAATGTTAATATTGATAATAAGGACTTACTTTTGCTATTTTGTTATTTGTTTCCTGGTTGTCTTGTGGTATTGCCCTCCTTCTTTCTTTCCTTTCTGTCTTCCTTTAGTGAAGTTGATTTTCTCTGTTAATATGATTTACTTTCTTGCTTTTTACTTTTTGTGTGTCCATTGTAATTTTTTTTTTTTTTTTTTTTTTAGTTTAAGGTTACCATGAGGCTTGCAAATACTATCTTTTTTTTTTTTTTTTTTGTGACAGAGTCTTGCTCTGTCACCCAGCCTGGAGTGCAGTGGCACAATCTTGACTCACTGCAAGCTCTGCCTCCCAGGTTCACGCCATTCTCCTGCCTCAGCCTCCCGAGTAGCTGGGACTACAGGTGCCTACCGCCATGCCCAGCTAATTTTTTGTATTTTTAGTAGAGACAGGGTTTCACCATGTTAGCAAGGATGGTCTCAATCTCCTGACCTTGTGATCTGCCTGCCTTGGCCTCCAAAACTGCTAGGATTACAGGTGTGAGCCACTGCACCTGGCCGAGGCTTGCAAATACTATCTTATAATCCATCATTTTAACCTGATAACAATTTAACACTCTGCATAAGCAACCAAGCAAAAAGAAAACTAATAAAAACTTTATGTCTAAACTTTGTCTACCTACTTTTAATCTTTTTCTTGTTTCTAGTTATATGTTATTGTACTGTCTACATCTCAAAAATTGTGCTAGTTGTTATTGTTTGATTGGTTCACTGTTTAGTCTTTCTACTTAGGATAAGAGTAGTTTACACACCACAGAAAGAGAGCATTATAATATTCTGTGTTTTTATGTGTACTCACTATTACCAGTGAGTTTTGTACATTCAGATGATTACTTATTGCTTATTAACATCATTTTCTCTCTGATTAAAGTACTCCCTTTAGTATTTCTTTTAGGACTTGTCTGGTGTTGATGAAACCCCTCAGCTTTTCTTTTTGTCTGGGAAAGTCTTTACTTCTCTTTTATATTTGAAGAATATTTTTATGGTATACTATTCTAGAATAAAAGTTATTTTCCTTCATGACTTTAAATTTGTCATACCACATTCTCCTGGCCTGTAAGGTTTCCACTGAAAAATCTACTGCCAGACATATTGAAACTCCATTGTATGTTATTTGTTTCTTTTCTCTTGTTGCTTTTAGGATCCTTTCTCTATCTTGATCTTTGGGAGTTTGATTATTAAATGCCTTGAGGTAGTCTTCTTTGGGTTAAATCTTCTTCGTATTCTATAACTTTCTTGTAGTTGTATATTAATATCTTTTTCTTGATTTAAGAAGTTCTCTGTGATTATCCCTTTGAATAAACTTTCTACACCTCTTTCTCCACCTCCACCTTAAAGCCAATAACTCTTAGATTTGCCCTTTTGAGGCTATTTTCTAGAACCTGTAGGTGTAATTCATTGTTTTTCGTTATTTTTCTTTGGTCTCCTCTGACAGTGTATTTTCAAATAGCCTATCTTCAAGCTCACTAATTATTTTGTCTTCATCCATTCTGCTATTAAAGAACTCTGATGCATTCTTTAGTATGCCAATTGCACTTTTCAGCTCCAGAATTTCCACTTGATTCTACTATTTCAATCTCTTTGTTAAATTTATCTTATAGCATTCTGAATTCTTTCACTGTTGTTATGTTGAATTGCTTTGAATTTCCTCAACACAGCTATTTTGAATTCTCTGTCAGAAAGGTAACATATCTCCATTTCTCCAGGATTGGTCTCTAGTGCTCTATTTACTTCATTTAATTAGGTCATGTTTTGCTGGATGGTGTTGATGCTAGTAGATGTTCTTCAGTTTCTGGGCATTGAAGATTTAGGTATTTATTGTTGTCTTCACAGTCTGAGCTTGTTTGTACCCGTTCTTCATGGGAAAGCTTTCCAGATATTCAAAAGCTCTTGGGTGTTGTAATCTAAACTGTATCTGCTTTATGGGGCACACCAAGACCAGTAGCACTGTGATTCTTGCAGACTCATAGAGGCACCACCTTGACCATATTGGACAAGATCTGGGAGAATTCTCTGGATTACCAAGAGAGACTCTTGTTCTCTTCTTTTACTTTTTCCCAAACAGGGTCTCTGTCTCTCTGTTCTGAGCCATCTAAATCTGTGGGTGGAGTGACACAAACACCCCTGTGGATACTATCACTATGACTGTTCTGGGTCAGACCTGAAGCCAGCACGGCCGTGGGTCTTGTCCAAGGTCTGTTATAACCACTCCCTGGCTATTGCCTATGTTCCCTCAAGGTTCTGGGGCTCTACAATCAGCAGGTGGCAAGGCCAGCCAGCTCTGTGTCTTTCCCTTGAGGGTGTCAAGTTCCCCCAAGCCCTGTGTAGTTGAGAGGTACCATCCAGGAGCCAGGGACTAGAGTCAAAAAACATAGAATTGTTCCTGTTTTTTTATTGTACTTGTAGCTGAGCTGGCACTCAAATCATAAGATACAGTCCTTCCCAGTCTTCCCTCCCATTTCCAGAGGCATAGGAGCCTCCCCTAATAGGCCCTACCACCACAGGCAACAGGTAGTACTGCCTGACTACCACTGATGTTCCATTAAGGCTCAATAGCTCTTAAGTCAGCTTGTGGTGAATGCTGCCTGGCCTGGGACTCACCATTCAGGTCAATGGGCTCCTCTCTGGCCCAAAGCACATACAGAAACGTCATCTGAGAGTCAAGTCCCAGAACTAAGGGCCCCCTTGGTTCTCTACCCCACTGTGACCATGCTTGTAACTAAAGTGCAAGACAAAGTCCCCTTACTTTTCCCTCTGCTTTTATCAATCAGAAGTGGTTATTCAGGGTCGAAGGGGTCTTCAGTTATCAGGTGATGAATGCTGTCAGGACTTCATTCAACCTGTCAGGATGGACCCCTTCAAAGCAGCAGATTTCCTTCTGGGCCAGGATGTGTATAGAAATGTCATCTTGAGAGGTAGGACCCAGAACTGGAGCTTCACAACTCTGACTGGTTCACTATTCTACTATGGCTGAGCTAGTGTCCAAGATGACAAAGTCATCCCCCTCTTCCATTTTCTCTCCTCAAATGGAAGGAAGTGATCTCTTTTGGAGCTGCGAGTGTGCAGACTGTGTATAGGGAAGGAGTGATGCCAGCACTCCCTTAGCTTCCCCCTCATTAGGTCACATGCCCCCTTAGTCCACTGTCTCTGTGACCATTTCAGCACTAGGACTCACCTACATGTTGCAGTCCTTATGGCCTAGATTACCTTTCAAGTCTACTTAGAGACACAGATCACTGCAGCCCTTGACGGCGAGGTATGCAGGCACGTAAGTTTAGACCACTGGGATCAGCAATTGTCCTCTGGCTAGGGCTGGTTTAAATGCTCCCTCCATGGGCATCAGCTAAATTTGGTCTGGTTTTCCTTTCTACCCTAACAGGCCAGTACTGAGTTCAATGTCTCACAATTACCCGGAGAGTATCTCTGGGCACTGGGGAAAGGAAAGCACAACAATTGTGAAGCAATGAACTCAGCCTTGTCCTGTTGAGCAGAAAGGGAGGAGGAGGTTCCAAGTGAGGGTTTAGGGGATGGAATTGACAATTCAGGACTGTTTTTGCTACCTCTTCAGTTCCACTTTCAGTGATATGAAGTTAACACCAGGTGCTGTGAGGGCTTACCAGATTTTTGGATCTTATGAAGGTGTTTCCTGTTTGTAGATCGTTGTTAAATTGGTGTCCTTGAAAGGGAGACTATGAGTAAAGCCTTCTATTCTGCCATCTTGCTCCACCTCCCCTAACAAATATTTCTTAAAATAACTTTTCTATTTTCTGGTTCAAGGAAAGAAATAAAAATACAGTAACACATTTAGAGAATGCTTTCTTTTTATTAAGGACTATATTAAGACTGCTTTACATATGTAATGTCATGTAATCCTTACAGCAACTCTGTGGACAAAATACTATTATTTCAATGTTACAAATAAGGAAATTGGACTTTGAGTAACATAATCAAATACAAGCAGTAACTGTAGAAGTAGGAATTGAACCCAAAATTATCTTTTCATATTATGTACTATGTTAATTACCACCAGAAAATCCTTCTTTAGATAAAAAGTATCCCACAATGGAATGACCCCAAGGTATAAATTATTCTATTGCTTAAAAGGAATGCCATGCTATTTTTCTACAAGAAAAAAAAATGTTCAAACTTTTTATGGTCAATTTCATATTTGTATAGGACAGCTATCTTTTGTCTATAAAATCTGTTCTTCCAGAAATAATTCACTGTAGTATGAAGATTCTGCTCCATTAGTCAGGGAGATCAGGTTCCAACTGTGTTCTGACATAAATATGATGAGTGACATATGACTGACTACCTTAACTCTCTGTGACTGGTTCTTTGCAAAATGATGAAAATGAGCAAGACTTGGGTATTTTTCTGTGTTTTTTATGTTTTGTTTTTTACCCCTAGATGAGTCACCTAGAAAGCTTTTACAAAGTACTATACTAGGTCTCAAGCCAAATCTATAAAATCAGAAGCTCTGGTGGTGGGTTGTAGGCATCATATGTTTTAAAAGCTCTTCAGCTTTTGCTATTGAGCAGCCAATGTTGAGAATTATTAGGTGGCTTAAATAACTAGATGCATGATGGATGAGGTCATTTTCAGTAGTAACAATTTATAATTCTATGACCAACCCAACTATACCCTGAACTATTTCTTTTGTCAGGATAAATTTATTGAGTGCTTATTTTAAATCTGTCAGTGTGCCAAATAGGGAAGACATAAAGATAAACTTTCCATGCTCTCCAGGTTAACTTACAGTCCTGAAGAAACTTATGACTTTCCATTAGCATAGACGGTGAATCCTATGAATATACATTTTTTATTGAACTCTATTAGGGAAGATGCTAGAGGTCATTACACCTTGATATCAATTTATATAATTGTTCTGCTGCCAAAAGACAAGAGACAGAAAAGATTCCTTCTTCATATCTTTACATATCAACTTTTAAAGTAAATTATTTACTTTTTTACTGTATTTTTATCAGTGATAAATTTATATCCTTTATCCACACTAACGTGAAAAATTTAACCCAAAATATTGCTTTGATATGGCAGGTATTTAGAAGTCATTGGTTCAATTCTTCCATCAATGAACAGATTAGTAAAGTGATTTGAGTGATTTGCTTACCATCATACTTATGGCTTATACCTTATTGTCGTTAACAGATTTCAAGTGTCGTGTTCTCAGCTCAGTGATCATCCTACTAGAGTCACTATTTCATCCATCATATTTCACCCAATATATTCACGTAGGTAATATATTGTTTGCTTAAGTGTCAGAAGATGTGGAATGGTGTGTTATGTTTGCTTGATGGCAAATCATAATACTCTTTGTGGTAATCATAATAAATACAATTCAGTATTGTTTGAGAAATCACTTCTTTTCAGACATTTATTTGACCTTGAATTTTAAATAGAGTAACATTTTAAATCAAGGAGGAAATATTACAGATATTGGCATTCCTCATGGGTTTTCTTTATTATGCATTATATTTTATCTCACTAAATTGATAATATAAATTTTAACTTTTCTTGTGCAAATATATGTTAAAAAGGGACTAATTATGATTCGCAGCTACCAAAGTAAACCTTCTAAATTTGCACTTCTTTTTTGAGATGTCTTGAGTTTTATAGGCATACTCCTATCACAGCAGGTTAAGAGGTAGATAAACAAATATTTTATTTATTTGTGGGTTTTTTTTCTACTTTGCAATTAACTTTTTCTCCAAATCACTGAGGAAGATGGTTTTGTAGCTTGGCACATTAAGTTCATGTTTTGCCCATTAAAGTAATTTAACTCTTAACATCAATGATAACTGACCTGGGAGGTGTAGAAGTAGCAGCGAAGGAGAATGCAAAGGAGAAACTAAAAATATTGGAGGAAAATAGTAAGTTGAGACCTTAGAACTGACCATTATTTTTAACAGTGACTTCACTGGTGACTTTTGATGGAGTGCAAGAAACAATGCCCCAAATTATGGCTCACTGGCATTTGAGAAAACAGAAAAGGCAAGGTCTCTCTGACCTTTTCCTGCTGTTCGTTGAAGCAGGTCATAAAATCTAGGCAGGTTATATTCTGACTTCCTTCCTCCTTTTTCTCATGAAGACCCTAATGTGAGAGTTGTGATCTTTTATACTGGAAGTAAAGAATAAAAACACAGAGAAGAATCTGAACAAACAGCCTATGTTCACTCCAGTTTATTACCATTAGATCATACCCCTTTTTTCCAATAATACTTCTATGCAACTGTCCATTCTTCACTGCATTTAGGAATAAAACACAGTTTTGGGGGTCTTCATTTCTGAAGTCTCCTGTGTCACAAAAAACTCTTGAATACATTTGTATACTTTTATTAATCTGTCTTTTTTAATAAGAGTGTCACCATGAACTTTGCAATGGGTGAGAAAAATAGCGTTTTTTCCTCTACACCTTGATGAGAATATTTTCAACTGAGTGCTGGGTTCAAAGATTGATCAGAGTGGGTTCAAGAAGAGAGAGTTGATTATAGACACCTATGTTGAGGTGCTTTGCTACAATGGGGAGCAAATGCATGGAATAGAAATTGGGGGAAGAAATGGTGTAATGAAGGAGAGGTTTTGTTTGTTAGTTTTGTTTTATTGTTATTTCAATAGTTTTTGGGGAACAGGTGGCGTTTGGTTACATGAATAAGTTCTTTAGTGGTGATTTCTGAGATTTTGGTGAACCCATCACCTGAGCAGTGTACACTGCAACCAGTGTGTGGTCTTTTATCCCTCAAGCCCCTCTCACCCTTCTCCCAGGGTCCCCAGAGACCATTATGTCATTCTTATGCCTTTGAGTCCTCATAGCTTAGCTCCCTCTTATAAATGAGAACATATGATGTTTGGTTGTCCATTCCTGAGTTACTTCATTTATAATTTCATTTCCATTCCTGAGTTACTTCACTTATAATAATGGTCTCCAACTGCATCCAGGTTGCTGCAAATGCCATTATTTCATTTCTTTTTATAGCTGAGTAGCGTCCTGTGGTGTATATACACACATTTTCTTTATCCACTCATTGGTTGATGAGCATTTAGGCTGGTTCCACATTTTTGCAATTGTGAAGTATGCTGCTATAATTATGTTTGTGCAAGTGTATTTTCCATATAACTACTTACTTCTTTTCCTCTGAGTAGATACCCAGTAGTGGAATTGCTGGATCAAATGGTAGTTCTACTTTTAGTTCTTTAAGGAATCTCTGTACTGTTTTTCATAGTGGTTGTACTAGTTTACATTTCCAACAGCAGTGTAAAAGTGTTCCTTTCACCACATGCATGCCAACCACTATTTTTTTTCAGACTTAAAAATAGATTTTTTCAGCATAGTAATACATATGACTTTTTATTTATTTATTTATTTATTGTTACATGAATAAGTTCTTTAGTGGTGATTTCTGAGATTTTGGTGCACCCATCACCCAAGCCTTGTACTCTGTACCCAATGTGTAGTCTTTTATCCCTTACCCAGCTCCCACCTTTCCCCCTGAGTCCCCAGAGTTCATTGTATCATTATTATGCCTTTGCATCCTCACAGCTTAGCTACTACTCATAAGTGAGAACATACAATGTTTGTTTTTCCATTCCTGAGTTACTTCACTTAAAATAATTGTCTCCAATTCCATCTAGATTGCTGCAAATGCCATTATTTCATTCCTTTTTATGATTGAGTGGTATTCCATGGTGTATATATATATAAATTATATATATATATAATTTATATATATATAAATTATATATATATAATTTAAAATTATATATATATAATTTATATATATATATATATTTATATTCCACATTTTCTTTATCCACTAGTTGATTGATGAGTATTTGGGCTGGTTCCATATTTTTGCAATTGCAAATTGTGCTGCTATAAACATCAGTGTGCAAGTATCTTTTTTATATAATGACTTCTTTTTCTCTGTGTAGATACCCAGGTGTGCAATTGCTGCATCAAAAGATAGATCTACTTTTAGTTCTTCAAGGAATCTCCACACTGTTTTCCATAGTGGTTTTACTAGTTTACATTCCCACCAACAGTGTAGAAGTGTTCCCTTTTCACAACATTCATGCCAACATCTATAATTTTTTCATTTTTAGATTATGACCATTCTTGCAGGAGTAAGGCAGTATTGCATTGTGGTTTTGATTTGCATTTCTCTGATAATTAGTGATGTGCATTTTTTCATATATTTGTTGGTCATTGGTTTCCATCTTTATTTCTCTGGGTCCTCCTTGAGTAGCTTAATAACCAACCTTCTGAATTCTTTTTCTGGCTGTTCAGAGATTTCTTATTGGTTTGAATCTGTTGCTGGAGAGCTGGTGTAATCATTTGGTGGTGTTATAGAACCTTGCTTTGTCATATGACCAGAATTACTTTTCTGGTTCCTTCTCATTTGACTAGACTGTTTCAGTGGAAGGATCTGGAACTCAAGAGCTGCTGTTCATATTATTTTGCTCTACAGGGTTATCCTTTGATGTGGTGCTCTCCTCCTTACTCTAGGGAAAGGGCTTCCTGAGAGCCAGATTGCAGTTATTGTTATTGTCTTTCTGTATTTAGTCACCCAAAGGGGCTACCAGGCTCTGGGCTGGTGCTGGAGAATGTCTGCAGAGTCCTGTGATGTGACCCATCTTAAGGTCTTCCAGCCATGGGTACCTGCACCTGCTCCAGTGGAGGTGGCAGGGGAGTGAAGTGGACTCTGGTGTGAACCATCTTAAAGTCTCCCAGCCATGGATACCTGCACCTGCTCCAGTGGAGGTGGCAGGGGAGTGAAGTGGACTCTGGGAGTCCTTGGTTGTAGTTTTGTTTCGTGCACTGGCTTTCTCAAATACTGATTATGCTAGCAGTGAAGTTGTCATGTGGACAGACTCAGGACCTCTGGTTAGCCAGGGTGTTGCAGGAGGTGGAATTAGCTGTTGTTTTCTCCTTCTCCGGAGCAGGCTTGTTCTATTATGAGTTGCTGTAACAGCTTGAGTTGGTTGGCCTCCAGTCAGGATGTGGCACTTTCAAGAGAGCATCAGCTGCAGTAGTAAAGGGGGATATAATCTTACCCTACTTTGGCCAGGATGTGTACTCGTGTTTCTCAGGTGATGGGTGGGGCCATATAGCTCCCAAGAGATTATGACTTTTTTCTTCAGAGTTTTTCAGCTGTCTCACAGCACTTGGCAGCAGCAAACCACTTTTTTCAAAGGGTCTGTGAATTCTTTCAGCTTTCCTGGTTTATTGCTGTGGTGGTTCTTGGAGCAAAAGTTCACAATGTGAGTCTCCAGACGTGTTTTTTTTTTCTGTCTAAGTGGGAGCTGCATATTAGTCCTGTCTCCTATCTCCCATTTGTTTTTATAGACATTTTTGTTTGTTTTGTTTAGGATAATAAAACTAGCAGTATACTTATAATCTGATGATTTGGTAGAGAGAAAGAGAAAGCAATGACATAGGCGACAGAGAGGAGATTTGCTGGAACAATGACCTGAATTGAATGTGGAAACTTGTAGGATTTAGATAAGGGCAAGCTTATTAATCTCTGTAACACCATAGAATGCAAAGTCTGTAAGGGCAGATTATGGTAGAATGGTAATGGAAATCTGTGGAAGTTTTCTTCTGATTGTTTCCATTTTTTTAGGTAAGTAGAAAAGAAGACCATCTTCTGAGAGAATGATTGTGAGAGAAAGTGTCAGAACTTTAGAAGAATGAGACGGTGTGAAGCTGTACTAGGGGAATACAGTATGATTGTCATGAACTGTAAGAGCTCACTTGACATGTCATAGTCATGAACTCAAACAGACATCAGTGGGCTGGTTTTATGTTTTCCAGCAACCTGTCTACACAAGCACAAGAACAGAGTTGATGGAGAATCGAATAAAATTGTGGTTATAATTTTTGCCAACATAATACAAAAAATACAGGGGCAAGGATGTTGATAGCATAGGCAGTGGAGTAACTATAGTAATTGAATATGAACTTTACACTGGGTAATTTGAAAACAGTACATCAGGTGAGAGGCATTAAAGGAGTGACCAGATCAGAAGATTGGTAGTCCTATGAAATTGAAGTACTGCTAAGGTAGGGGTATTCAAGGCAGTAAACTGGAAAGGCACGAGGTGTAAGTAAGAGAATAGGACACACAAAATTGAAATTTGGAGACTTTGAAATTATTGGCCTTGGCAGTGTCTGAGCCATAAGATTGAGTGGCTGAGGTTGAATGAAAGACAAGATCATTGGAGTACAAGATCTGAAGGCTGGTGAGGAAGGTTCATCCACTTTCTACTGAGAATTTACATTTTCAGTGAAATCAAGAATTAACACAGGAATAGTATTAAAGAAAATAACAATGAGTTTTAGGAGTTAAAACCTTGGAGAGCTACAGGAAGTGACTTGGATCAGTACATGACTGTAAAAATGAGTGACAGTAGTTGATTTAGGAACTAGGAGGGAATAACAGAAACAGTAAAGGGAAACAAGAATATCATCAATGCTACCTATGACCAGTAATACATAAGCTGAAGAAGAAAAGTATAGTTATACTTGAGGGGATTACAGGATAAGAAGTATCCTCAGAAAAAATCTAGGCTTCTGTGAGAACAAGGAGCTTTCCTTTATAGCTAAAGGACATTGCAGATTTTGCTGGTGGTGGACAATGAATTTTTAAGGGCAACCAAAATGTGTTTTTGGGAGTTGGGTACATATGAAAGATGGAGATAGAACAGGGCATGTGCAGAGCCCTATAGGAAATAGAATCCCAGAGATGAGAGGTGACCTGGGATTCTAGGACTTTCTACAAAAACTGGCATAAACAATAATATGATGGTGGTCCTGGTAGAATCAAAGGTAGAAAAGGACAATGCTGTGAGTGATTGTGGAGGAGAGGAAGAATGAGAGGGCTTGTAAGGATGTCTCATGACTCCTATAGAAAGAGATGGAAGCTTTGTGGGGCAAGGCCTTTCTCAGAACAGGGCCCTTGGTGCTGACCTCTCCAGAAAAATCAGTAGGCCTGCTCATTGATTTATTCAATGCAATTAGGAACCTGACATTGCCTAATCTGGATTAGGGTATGCAACCTCTTTTGAGCTTTGTAAATTTAGTAATCACATAAATTTGATTATGTCCTTGCCCACTTTAAAATATTGAAATCTTCTCTAATATCATCCCAAAAGGATAATTTTCCATTTTTAGCATGGCATGTACATTCTCCAATATTGATTCCAGCTCATCCTTTTCCATTTACCATTATCTCCCACCCTAGATTAAACCATCTTGGAGGACCTGTTGCCATCTAAACAATCACATTCTTTTACCTTCCCAGTATGCTTCCCAGAGCCACAAGTCTGCCAGCACCATGTATCCATCTGGAAGTCCCAGTCTCTCTTCTCTGCTTCTCAAACATACTTTTCTGTAACATGTTTACCTACCTCTCCCAAACAGTCAATCACTCCTCCGTGCTCACTAAGCGCTATGCACACAGTTCTATCATAAAACTTACCCATTTCATAATAATTATTGTTTACATGCCTAATTCCATCAGTAGACTCTGGATTCAAGGGAAGAGTTCTAATTTTATACTTCTTTGGATCCTCAATGTACAACATGACACCTGACACAAAACAGCAATTCAATTATTGTTTGTTTAGGTTAGTTAATGGTTAATAATAAATTCTAAAATGATAAATGAAAACACAAATTTTAATCATAAAATGAATTTCACCAGTTGAAGATTCATTTAGTTTCCAATTCTTTGTAACATGCAAAATCCTTTTGAAGTTTTAAGAATATTAAATATTCATTACTGAAAATCAAGTAAAGCACTCAAGATTAGCAGAGAAGAATAACTGTATTCTAATTATAACTACAGCATCTACTGATGGAAATATGATGTTAAAAATTCATATAACTTTTTGATTAAGTTTTCTCATCTGTACCAGAGAGAGACAACAGTATCTATCCTGGTATGTAAGGTTATTGTGAGACTAAAACAAAATAATACATGTGAATGTCCTTCATTAAACATGAAGTGCCATATACATGGCAACACTGGGAGACTTACTTCCATGTCTAGCTGGGATCAGGTCTTTTAAGACATCAGAAGTTAGAGGGGAAAGAGGATGCTGATGAAGAAAGGTATTAGAATAATAGGAATTTCTTTAAAAGAGGCCCTTCAAGGGAAGTTAGATCCACATCACATGTGATCTAGGGTAGCCTGGCTCTGGGTTGTTCAACTACAAGCCACTGCAAAATCAAGGGCCCTGGGGAATAGAGGAAGAATGGAAGAAGGAAGAGCAAAGCAGTAAAGAATGAGCAATTTCATTTGTTTAGCAATTTTGCCTAGATGAATATGGCTGTTTTACATATTAATTTAGTCTAATATATTTCAGGAAAATATGTTTTTTAGAATTTCACATAAAAATGGAACTACTTAAGAAAATTTCTGCATGTAAAAAGGAATATGATGTTAGTTGAATAATATCTTAGTTTCAGATATTTACTAAATAAAACTTTTTAGTATTTTTTACCAGCATTAATTCAAACTGACATACTTGGAAATTTGTTTTGAAAGGTACAACTGTTCAATAAATGTCATTTTAAAAAGAATCTCAGCATACAATTTAAAGTTGCTAGCAGATACAGAAAGCGGTAGATCTTTGAGAGGTTCAGATTTATTCTCCCTTCATAAATAGTTTTTGTTTTAAAGAACCACATGCAGGCTTTGACTATGACTTACATAACTTCTATAAAAGAAATAAATTTATAGGGTGAAATTCACCCCCGATATTTCACGTAAGTTCTTTTCTATTTTCCCTAAGTATTGGTGGGTCTGAGAAATAAAGGGACAGAGTAGAAAAGAGAGAAATTTTAAAGCTGGGTGTCTGGGGGAGACATCACATCTTGGCAGGTTCTGTGATGCCTCCTGAGCCATAAAACCAGCAAGTTTTTATTAGTGATTTTCAAAAGGGGAGGGAGTGTACAAATAAGGTGTGGGTCACAGAGATCACATGCTTCACAAGGTAATAAGATATCACAAGGTAAATGGAGGCAGGGTGAGATCACAGGACCACAGGACTGAGGCAAAATTAAAATTGCTAATGAAGTTTGGGGCACGCATTGTCATTGATAACATCTTATCAGGAGACAGGGTTTGAAAGCAGGCAATCAGTCTGACCAAAATTTATTAGGCGGGAATTTCCTTGTCCTAATAAGCCTGGGAGCGCTACTGGAGACAGGGCTTATTTCATCCCTACAGCTGCGACCGTAAAAGACAGCTGCTCCCAATGCAGCCATTTCAGAGGTCTACCCTCAGGGATGCATTCTCTTTCTCGGGGATGTTCCTTGCTGAGAAAAAGAATTCAGTGATATTTCTCCCATTTGCTTTTGAAAGAGGAGAAATATGGCTCTGTTCTGCCTAGCTCACCAGCAGTCAGAGTTTAAGGTTATCTCTCTTGTTCCCTGAACATTACTGTTATCCTGTTCTTTTTTCAAGGTGCCCAGATTTCATATTGTTCAAACACACATGCTCTACAAACAATTTGTGCAGTTAATGCAATCATCACAAGGTCCTGAGGCAACATACCTCCTCCTCAGTTTACGAAGATGACGGGATTAAGAGATTGAAGTAAAGACAGGCATAGGAAATCACAAGGGTATTGATTGGGGAAGTGATAAGTGTCCATGAAATCTTCACAATTTATGTTCAGAGATTGCAGTAAAGACAGGCGTAAGAAATTATAAAAGTATTAATTTGGGGAACTAATATATGTCCATGAAATCTTGACAATTATGTTCTTCCTCCATGGCTTCAGCCGGTCCCTCTGTTTGGGGTCCCTGACTTACCGCAACATAAATTGATTGATAAACATGGCTGGATTTTGCTTGTAATGTTCTATGAGGATTGCCAGAAATTTATTTAATTGTTCAAATGTTTGTGAATCATTTGAAAACACTGGTGTTAAAGTGATAAGCAAATTCAAACTATTTTAGCATTATGAGTTAAACAAATTTAAATAATCTCAAAGGCAAATAATTATCCAAAAGAGGCTAATTTAATGTTCTTATTATGCTATCTTTTGATTTAGGTTGGTTTTAATGTCATCATGATTCTATATGTGGGGTGGGGGAGACAGAGACAGAGACAGAAACAGAGTCAGAGTAAGAGTGAGAAAGAATTGAATCTGCCAGACCATATTAAATATAGCTCTGCCCTCCATTGTTGGATTTCCACATTTTATCATGTGGCCTTATCATCAAAAAATTCTTGGACGTCTCAGTATTGGAAACTTTACCAAAGTTTAAATTCAATAACATTGGAGCGATTAAGGAAATGTTATATGTTTATAAGTATGTAAGGGGAAAAATATCCAATATTTTCTGAGCTATCTATTCTAATGCACTGGAAGCCTCTTTTTCTGTATCTAGGAATAGTGCAGTCTATGAGATATTTGTCTTATTTTAAACATGGAATTTTGTTTTTTCACTAATTTTTATTCCATATGGCAAGTTATCCATTTATGCCTACTGTTAAGACCAAACTTTGTATGTTCAGTAGTGCTCCTTCTACATTTGGTTTATTTTTCACCTCTTAGTCAGAGAATGGAGGGATGATCTACCAATGACATGATAGAATGAATCTGTCTTTGGGGCTGAAACCTGGACTTATTAAGTCACTTCCAATCCTAAGAAACTTTGCACAACATAAACACAAAACAAACTTTAGTAACAAATTTTCCTATACAGTTGTGTAACTGATCTTAGACTATCATGGTTGCCAAATCATTCTTGGTATCTTAAAAAGAATAAATAAGATCCTGTTTTAATTTGACCTTTTGCCAAATACACTGTGAATACTACTAAAAGTTTGGTTATAATTATTTTCTCTCTCCTGAGTTGCAAAGTCATGAGTAATAGTTATTAATGTTATATTGAGAAGTTTCATCATCTTTCATAATCATTTGGATAATTTACTCCTTATATATTTTTAAATTATGTATCCTTTTCTTTTCAGAGACAGTGTCTTACCCCTGTTACCCAGACTAGAGTGCAGTGCCATGATCATAATTCACTGCAGCTTCAAACTCTTGACCTCAAACCATCCTTTCACTTCAGCTGCCTGAACAACTAGGACCACAAACACATGCCACCATGCCTGACTAATTTTGATTCTTTTTTGAAGAGATAGGGTGTTGCTATATCGCTCAGATTGGTCTTGAGCTCCTGGCCTCAAGCCATCCTCCTACCTTGACCTCCCAAATGTCTGGAATTACAGACACCAGCCACTGTGTTGGGCCTATATCCTTTTATTCCCTCATAAAAACACAATCCTGTCATATTTTCTTCCATTTCAGACTATGTCTATCTTGATCCTTAATAAGCAAAACCAAAACCAAAAATGTTTCTAGCATTTCAGCTTCTAAGAAGATGCAATAGATGTGGTATTTTCCTATTCGTCCCACTGAGTACAATGGAAAAAAAGAAAGTCGGATGTTATATATAAAACAAGCATAACAAGACTGTTAAAGATGAAGAGAGAAGGACCTCAAGATACATGGAATAACACATGAGTAAAATCTTTCTGTCATCTTTTTGTCTCCTATATTCCAGGCTTACAGCTGATGAAGATGACAACCCAGAAATGCCAACTATCATAGACAAAACCCCAAGAATAGCCTCTCTCTAGCCAATACACCAGGAAAGAGGCAGGCTAGCAAGACAGAACTTTTAGACAATATACCTCTCTACTGCAGTCAACCACCACACCAAATGGTGGTCACACCCACACCATCAAAGGCTGAGTGAGGAGCCTAGATTTCCACCATCGTTGGTCTATAATGATGCACCCCAATCTTTCCACCAAGCCAGTGTCAGAAAAGACCTAGCAGGGAGCCAGGATGTTCATCTCCATCAACAAGTAACAAGAGTCCCCCCTCATGATGTATGTGGAACACTGGCAACCACATGGGGAGCCTAAACTCCCACTCCCTCCCAGTAGTAATAAGGTGCCCTCTGGCTTGTCTCCCACTGGAGTGCTGTTGGAGGAGGCACAGTGAAGAAGCAAGACTTTCACAACTGCTCAGCACTAGTGAAGCCATCCCCCTCAGTGTGCTATGAATAGAGGCTGGGGAACAGTTAAAAGACACTGTTGCACTTTCTAGCCAGGGTAATAGCAATGGAAGCTAAGAAGGAAGCTGAAACTCCCAAACTCGCCAAGCAATCATTACTAGCCCCCCACCTAGAGTGTCAATGGAGGTCAAGTGGAGAACCTGGACTTCTACTTCACATGGCAGTAAGAAGGCAGTGCCCACCCCCTCCATCCCTGGAGCAGTCTCAGAGGAAGCCAGCTAAAAGAGAAGGTTGAACTAAGATTCAGAGTTTTCTGGTATAAAATTAAAAATGTCCAGGTTTCTATTTTTGTAACTATAATAAAATGTGGTATTTATACACAATGGAATAGTATGCATCAGTTTAAAATATGCCTATCATTAGTGACAGCATGGATGAACCTGGAGGACATTACGTTAAGTATATGCCAGGCATTGGTTCACTCATATGTTGAACCTAAAAGTGTTGATCTCATAGAAGTAGGGAATAGAATGGAGGTCACCAGAGGCTGGGGTTCTTGCAGGGTGGGAGGTGGGAAGATGTTGGTCAAATGATACACAATCATAGTTAGATAGGAGGAATAAGTTCAAGAGATCTGTTGTATAGCACAGCAACTATAGATAATGACGATATATTCTTCAAAAATGCTGAGAGAATAGATGTTAAAAGTTCTTATCACAAAAATGGTGACTGTGAGGTAATGCATATATTAATTATCTACATTTAGCCTATGACATTGTATATATCAACACTGACCGTACAGTTTAAAACATCAGGGCAGGTGTGGTGGCTCACGCCTGTAATCCCAACACTTTGGGAGGTCAAGACAGGTGGATCATGAGGGCAATAGATCGAGACCATCCTGGCCAACATGGTGAAACCCCATTTCTACTTAAAAAAAAAAATAGCTGAGAGTCGTGGTGCACGCCTGTAGTCCCAGCTACTTGGGAGGCTGAGGCAGGATAATCTCTTGAACCTGGGAGGCAGAAGTTGCAGTGAGCTGAGATCATGCCACTGCACTCCAGCCTGGCAAAAAAGCAAGACTCGGAAAAAAAAAATCATGAAATACATAAAATTTTATCTGTTAAGTTAAAAATTAATTTAAAAAATCATCATGTTCATTAAAATGTCACCATGCTAGGAATTAGGAAGACGAATGACAATAGATTCATTCAAGATTCATTTAAGAAGAAAGACAATAGATTCCAACACCAAGATGACAGATAACAGAATTATGTGACAAAGAATTTCAAAAAGCCACCATAAAAATATTTTAATGAGCAATTATAAACGTGTTCATAATAGCTTTAAAAAATAGACTGTCTCAGAAAAGAAATAGTAGATATATAGAGAGTAATGAAATGAATATTTAGAATAGAAAATGTACAATAAATGAAATTAAAAACTCAGTAGATGGGCTCAGCAGCAGAATGGAGAGATCAGAGAAAAGAATAGAATCAGTGAACTGGAAGATAGAACCATTGATATTACTCAATATGGCACATATGAACACAAAGAAAGGAACAACATACACCAAGCCGACATGACGGTAGAGAGAGGGAGGAGGGTGAGAATCAAAAAACTACCTAGCGGGTACTATGATTATTACCTGGGTGATGAAATAATCTGTAAGCCAAATCCCTGTGACATGAAATTTATCTATATAACAAACCTGCACATGTATCTCGAACCTAAAATGTAAGTTAAAAATAAACAAGTATAATAAAAACTAGATGCTTTTCAGTTTTGCTATGAAGAATACATTACACAACATGAAAAAGAGAGAAAAAGTAGACTAAAACTAAAAATAAACAGAGCCTCAGCGGCCTGTGGAGCCCTGATAAAAGCCATACACCTACAACCATCTGACCTCCGACAAAGCTGATAACAATAAGCAAGGAGGAAAGGACTCCATATTCAATAAGTAATGCTGGGATAACTGGCTGGCCATACACGAAACACTGAAACTGGACCGCTACCTTTCACCATATATAGAAATCAACTCAAAGTAGATTAAAGTCTCGAATATAAGACATAAAAGTCTAAAAACCCTAGAAGAAAACCCAGAAAATACCATTCTGGACCTAGGACTTGGCAAAGATTTCATGATGAAGTCTCCAAAGGCAATTGCAACAAAAACAAAAATAGAAAAGTGTAGCCTAATTAAACTAAAGAACTTCTGCACTGCAAAAGAAACTAGCAACAGAGTCAATAGACACCCTACAGAATGGGAGAAAACATTTGCAAACTATGCACCCAATGAAGATCTAATATTCACAATCTCATAAGGATCTTAAACAAAGCCCAAACCAAGCAACCTCATTTAAAAATGGGCAAAAGACATAAGCAGACACTTCTAAAAAAAAAAAAAAAAGATATATACATGGCCAACAAGCATATGAAAAAATGCTCAACATTCCTAGTCACCAGAGAAATGCAAATCAAAACCAGAATGAGATTCCATCTCACACCACTTAGGAGGGCTACTTTTAAAAAGTCAAATAATAACAGATGTTGGTCAGACTGCAGAGAAAAGGGAATATTTATACCCTGCTGGTAGGAAGGTAAATTATTTCAAGCCACTATGGAAAGCAGTTTGAAGATGTCTCAAATAACTATAAATAGAATTACAAATCAAACCAGTAATCTTGTTACCTGGTATATACCCAAAAGAATATAAACTGTTCTACCAAAAAGACACATGCATACCTATGTTCATTATAGCACTGTTCACAATAGCAAAGATAAGGAATCAACCGAGATTCCTATCAGTGGTGGACTGGATAGATAAAAATATGCTACATGAACACCATGGAATACTACACAACCATGAAAAGGAACAAAATCACATCCTTTGCAGCAACATGGATTCATCTGGAGGCCATTATCCTAAGTCACTTAATGCAGGAACAGAAAACCAAATACTGCATATTCTCACTTCTAAGTGAGAGCTAAGCATTGCGTACACAAGGACACAAAGAGGGAAACAATAGACACCAGGACTTACTTGAGGGTGGAGGCTGGGAGGAGTGTGAGGGTTGAAAAAGTACTTATCTGATACTATGCTCACTACCTGGGTGAAAAAATCATTTATACACCACACCCTCATGACAGGCAATTTATTCATGTAACGAACCTGTACATGTACCGCGCACAGCCCCCCCACCACCGAGCCTAAAATAAAAGTTGAGAAAGAAAAAATAAGATGCAATACTTGTCCAAACCAGAGTCTGTGAAGAAGAGGAGAAAGGTGATGAAACTGAAAAAGTACCTGAAAAAATAATGGCTAAAAATTATTCAAATTTAACAAAAGATCTACATGTAGACATTCAAGAAGCATAGTAAACCCCAAATAGAATTAAAGCATAACAAGACATATGAGAGTCAAAGTTATGAAAAGGCAATTTAATTAGAAAATGGATGAAAAATATGAATAGACATTTCACCAAATAGGTGACACAGATGGCAAATAATCACATGAAAAGATGCTTAATGTCAATTAAGAAAATGCAAACTAAACCTATGGTGAGATTAAAATTACTCACCTATCAGAGTGACTAAAAAAATGTTTAATGACAAAAAGAAATGCTGCCAAAGATTCACAAAAACTGAATAATTCATACATGACTATACAATTGCACAAGCACTCTGAAAAACAATTTGGCAGTTTCTTTAAAAATTAAAAATTAAACATGCACCTACCATATGACCCAGGAATTGCACTTCTGGACATTTATTTTAGAGAAATGAAGATTGTGTCCATGCAAAAACCTGGACAAAAATAGCAGGATTTTTTCCTGGTAAAATGCAGAAACTAGAAACAACCCAGATGTCCTTCGGTGTGTGAATAGTAAAACAAATAGTGGCACATCCATACCATAGAATACTACTCATCAATTAAAAGAAACAAACTATTGATAACAGCATTAACCTGGATGAATCTCCATAGAAATTTACTTAGTGAAAAAAAGACAAACCCAAAAGGTTATATGTCGTATGATCTCCCTTATATAGCATTCTTGAAATGACAAAATTATAGAAATGGAGACCGGGTTAGTGGTTTCCAAGGTTTAAAAAAGGGTTAGAGGCAGAAGGTACATTAGTATGGCTATAAAAGGGCAACCTGAAGGTCCTTGTGGTAACGGAAATGTTCTGTATCTTGACTGTATCAATGTAGTACCCTGGTTATGGTGTTGTAGTTTAGTTCTGCAATATATTACCAGTGGGAAAACTGGGTAAAGTGTACGTGGGATAACTCTTCACTATTTCGTACAACTGCATGTGAATTTACAACTACCTAAAACAAATTTAAAAGAATCCCTTCCTCTAAACAAACAGAAATTTAAAAGAAAAACTGATATCTGAACATTCTTTCTTTGTCTGCAAAACTTTTTTTCTCAAATATCTAACATAATTTTAATAAGATATATGCACTAATAGAAAATTGAGATGAAAGACATTGGAACCAGGAATAGATGGTTGGACAAGGAAATGAAGAGGAAAGCAAGAGTTCCAAGTAAAAACTTAGACCCAATAATACCATAGAGAAAACAAGTTAGTTGTAACTATGAGAAATCCAATATAACACTCAAAGACCCAGTCCAGACACTGCAACAATGACTAATGCAAACATTATTCTTTTTCTGTTCAAATTTATTGAAATCATAAAAATAAATGACTCTGTTACTCCCAAGAAGGTACAAAATAAATTTCTATAGTATGAGGAATCAATTATATTTAGAATTCATGTTTTTTAAACCTTAAGCATATGTATAAGACTGAATTTTGTGAGTATTGTCATGATTACTGTTTATCTTATCTAAGTTTATGTTGCTAAATACACTTAGGAAAAGTTGGATATAAGACTGACACTTGTAATTTCAGAACGAATCTTAGCACTTTGGGAGGCCAAGGCAGGGCCAGGAGTTAAATACCAGCCTGAGCAGCATATTGAGGTCCCATTTCTTTAAAAAAATAAATAAATGAATAAGTGATTTTTTTTTTGTTTTTTTGTTTTTTTAATTAGGCATGGTGGTGTGTACTTACAGTCCTGGCTACTTGGGAGGCTGCAGCAAGAGGATCTCTTCAGCCCAGGAATTTGAGACTGCAGTGAGCTATGATCACGCCACTGCACTTCATATCGGATGTACAGAGCAAGACCCTGTTTCTTCAATTAAAAAAAGGAAAAGCTCATAATTTTATTGACATGTTTTAAAAGATTTAACTAATCAAGTTGATAATATTTAAGCTCTTGAGTAATTTAACTTTATAAAATATTTGTTTTTATTTATTAGTTATACCAGCAGTATTAAATACTTACAGGAATAATTTCAGCTAAAATACATTGAGTATCAAAGCAAAAACAAAAAGTCAAAAGCCCTTTGGATGTTTAAAATTTCAATAATATGGCAAAACCAGCCAGGCGTGGTGGCTCACACCTGTAATCCCAACACTTTGGAGGCTGAGGTGGGAGGATCACTTCAGGTCAGAGATTTGAGACCAGCCTGGCCAGCATGGTGAAACCCTGTCTCTACTAAAAATGCAAAAAAATTAGCCAGGTGTGGTGTCACGCGTCTGTAGTCCCAGCTACTCGGGAGGCTGAGGCAGGAGAATCCCAGTGGGTGGAGGTTGCAGTGGGCTGAGGTTGTGCCACTACATTCCAGCCTGGGTGACAGAGTGAGACTCTGTCTCATAAATAAATAAATAAATAGGAAAAAAACAAAATGGCAAAACCAAGATTAACACTCCTACCTGCTGAGAGAGCATTTCTAATACCCTGGGTGCCTCTTTTCAGGATTGAATGTCTTGTGTACAAAATTAATAATTTGTATTTCTTCAAGTGTTAGTATCAGAGCCAGCATAGCACCTGGCACAAAGGAACTGCTCAATAAAAGTTGTGAAATAGATTATTTTACTTTGGACATGAAATGTAGCTGAGCTTCTTATTTTGAACTAGAACTTAAAAATGCCATAGGTGCTTCCCACCTAAACATCAGTTATGAGGACTTTTTCTCTGCCCTTCATCAACATGCAGCCTGTGAACAGTGTCTGGGAAAGTAGTGGTCATTGGTTGCGTAATTTGATTTTAGGCTTATGGAGAAAAGGACCCAAGTGACTCTGATGTTTACAAAGCACCTATGAAACCCTGTACACACCTAGTGCGTAATCCTCATAATTTATCAACAAACACCAAAAAATTGCAATAGGTGCATAGTATTCCATGGTGTATATGTGCCACATTTTATTTATCCAGTCTATCATTGATGAGCATTTAGGTTGGTTCCAAGTCTTTGCTATTGTGAACAGAGTCGCAATAAACATATGTGTGCATGTATCTTTAGAGTAGAATGATTTATAAACCTTTGGGTATATACCCAGTAATGGGATTGCTGGGTCAAATGGTATTTCTAGTTCTAGATCCTTGAGGAATCGCCATAAAAAAAGGATGAGTTCATGTCCTTTGCAGGGACATGGATGAAGCTGGAAACCATAATTCTCAGCAAGCTAACACAAGAACAGAAAACCAAACACCGCATGCGCATGTTTTCACTCATAAGTGGGAGTTGAACAATGAGAACACATGGACACAGAGGGGAACATCACACACCGGGGCCTCTCGGGGAGTGAGGGGGTGTGGGAGTATAGCATTAGGAGAAATACCTAATGCAGATGACGGGTTGATGGGTGCAACAAACCACCATGGCACATGTATACCTATGTAACAAACCTGCACGTCCTGCACATGTATCCCAGGACTTAAAGTATAATTTAAAAAAAAAAATTCAATAGGTGGGGAAAGTATTATCACTGTGAATCAAAATGTTAGGATTAGCATTGTGTGGTCAAAAGTTACTCCTGTGATAAAATATAAAGGCAGAAATAATCAGCTTGATTCTGGTATTATGCAGTTGAACTACAGTTCCATGAATTGTTCGTTTATTTTGGCCTTGTAGTATAATTCGAAGCCAGGTCAAGGGATGGCTCTGGCTTTGTTCTTTTTCCTTAGGAGTGCTCTGGTTATTCAAGACTTTTCTGTTTCCATTTGAATTTTAGGATTGTTTTTTCTAATTCTGTGAAAAATGAGGTTGGTAATTTGATAGGAATTAAATTGAATCTGTATATTGCTTTGTGCAGTATGGTCATTTTAATGATATTGATTCTTCTAATCTGTGAGCATGAGACCTTTTCTCATTTGTTTGTGTCATCTGTGATTTCTTTCATTGGTGTTTTATACTTCTTCATGCAGAGATCTTTTGCCTCATTAGTTAAATGTATCCCTAGGTATTTTATTTTTTGTGTGGCTATTGTACACAGAATTGTGTTCTTGATTTGATTTTCAGCTTGAACATTATTGGCTACTGATTTCTGCACATTGATTTTGTATCCTGAAACTACTGAAGTCATTTATCAAGTCTAGGAGTCTTTTGGAGGAGGCTTTAGGATTTTCTAGGTATAAGATCATGTCATCAGCAAACAGAGATAATTTAACTTCCTCTTTTCCAATTTGGATTCCTTTTATTTCTCTCTGCTGCCTGATTGTTCTGGCTAGAACTTCCAGTACTACGTTGAATAGGAGTGATGAGAAAGCAGGGACCTCCTATGCCAGTAACTGGGAGTGAGTAAGTTCATTATGTACAGTTGTGCACAAGTCTAGGCAACTTCAAGTACTGTACACAGTACAAATTGCAGAGACAGAGTTGGGGGTGGGGAGTGAGAGAGAGAGAATCCCTAGCTGGATGCTGGAGGTGAGAATGGAAATAAGAGAAAAAAAAACAGTGTTTTTTAAAAAAAGAGGTTAAACCTGAATCAAGTGAAGTAAGTAACTTGAGACTGTATCATTGTAACTCCCATTATCAACCATTTGTCCTCACACTGAATTAAAAATTAAATGTGCATTGGCATAGCTTCTGAATGCCCAATGGAAGACGACAAAGATGAAATTACTGTGAAATTTGTGCCCATCTTAAATCTTAAATTGGAATTGTCCTAGGGACAGAATCCCAAGAGTAAAATGAAGCCCTCAGCTGACCTCCTCTCCCTGTAAATTTGCATTCCTACAAGAGCCAGCAAAAAGTTACTTGAAATAAATCTGGTGGAATCTAGAGGAAAAGCTTTCTGTCTCCTGGCAGCCCTGTGAGTGTAAGAAGATAATTCCTAGTTTATTTACCTTGTGTTGTGAGACAGTTACAGATGTATCACAGCTCTTCTCAATCACCTAGCCATGAGTTTATTAACTTTCAGCAGCTGGAGTGATATCTCACTCTTTGAGAAAGGGAGGGGATGTGCTAGTGGTTAAGTGACTTAATAAATAATCTGTCACTTTTCACGGTTTACGAAGCCGGAGCACATTTATGAAAGACAAGGAAGTAGATTATTTAACATATTTGATATAAGGCTTTTGAGAGCTGAGTAAAGAATAATTACAGGGTACCTCAGGTTCTCTTCCTGATTTACATTTACTCTCTGATAAAGTAGAGAGAGATGAGGCCTATTTAGAAAATAGGTCCCATATTGGCTATTGAGCAAATAAGGAAAATAAGAAATCATATACACTCATATTTCTTTTATTGTCTTTTATTTTTGTTTTTGAGACGGAGTCTCGCTCTGTCGCCCAGGCTGGAGTGCAGTGGGGTGATCTTGGCTCACTACAAGCTCCGCCTCCTGGGTTCACGCCATTCTCCTGCCTCAGCCTCCCGTGCACTCACATTTCTATTACACACACACACAAGCATGCATATTTTATTTGAAGTGTTAAAAATGAAGAAACTGGCCGGGCGCGGTGGCTCACGCATGTAATCCCAGCATTTTGGGAGGCCGAGGCGGGCGGATCACGAGGTCAGGAGATCAAGACCATCCTACTAACACAGTGAAACCCCGTCTCTATAAAAATACTAAAAATTAGCCGGGTGTGGTGGCGGGCGCCTGTATCCCAGCTACTCGGGAGACTGAGGCAGGAGAATGGCGTGAACCCCTGAGGCAGAGCTTGCAGTGAGCCGAGATCGTGCCACTGCACTCCAGCCTGGGCGACAGAGCCAGACTCCGTCTCAAAAAAACAAAAAACAAAAACAAAAACAGAAGAAACTATTGGTTTTAGCTAAGAGGAAACCGCTGGCCCCAGACTGCTCAAATCCCAGCTCTGCCTGTGTGACCCTGAGAAAGTTATATAAGTTCTTAAGTTTCCTTCTTCATAAAATTGGATTAATAGTAGTACTTACCTTTTACAGTTATTGTGAGGATTAAAATTTTTATAAATATTTAGAACAGTGTCTGGCATGTAAAAACACTCAGTAGGTGGTAACAATTTAATCAAAGCTGGCCCAAATATTAACTTTGTTAGGCAACTTAGCGTTTAAGTAAATTTACCATTAATTTGTGCCCATTGAATAGGAGAAGATTTATTTATTTACAACATCCTTGTTGCAACTGTACTACTCCTCTGTGATGGGATAGACTGGAACAACAGGAACTGGATTGGCTCTATCAATAAGAAATTATCAGGGAATCTCCTCTGCTTCTTTCTGCACCAGAAGATCCTGATAGTGTGAAGTCAAGAGAAAATACAATATTCCACTCTCTCATACTCTTTGGTAAACCAGGATTTTTTACAAATCTGCTATCTTTGCTGCAACATCTTTGTGCGTCAAATGAAAAAAACAAATCTTTCTTTTTAAGCACATCTTCTCTTTTTCTTTCTTCCACAATTGAACTCTGTTTGCTAACACAGAAAGAGCTGAAATAAGGAGTCTCCAAATTATGACACCTCTTTGTTTTTGTAAGGATATTTTCCTAACATTGACAACCATGAGGATTTTAAAGCTGGTTTTAGCGAACACATTGGAGAATCTCAAGGATCTAAATTAAGCTGATTGTTAGTTTGAATAAGAAAAAAATATTAAAAAACTATTAATCGTATACATTATTTCCTGCAAAATTTCCAGCTGAGTTGTAAAAGCACTGCTGGTTGTCCTTTGGGACTATCGTTTTTCACCCAGAATGTGGTCAGTACATCACTTGAAGCATAAAATTCTTCACTATGCTAATTGCAGAGCCTGTGATATGAATGCCAATGTAGAAAATAGGATCAAAATAGCATTGCAATGTCTCATGTTGCATAAAATGTTGATTAGTGTAAAACCAAATCTTGAGAGTCATATTATAAAAGACGATGCCTGTCTTTTACAGCCAACTTAAAATCACCATGTTTTTTGTGTTCATCTGCATTTGACAATTCCTGACAACTCTGTTACTCATTGTTACTTATTGCTTTGTTGTTATTTTGTAAAATTCAGATTATTTTATGAAACACAAACCTTAACCACTTTCCCAAATTCCCTTGATTCCAGCAGCCCCCTTGATACTGGTACATGTCTGAAACTGCCGTGAAAGAAGTATGCTGGGGTCATTTGACGCATCTGTCTGGGGCCAGCCAGGTCCTTGCTCTGGAAATGCCAATGTTTGTACCCTTGATTGCCTGTGCGTAGCCGGGCCAATGTGCTGCGTGACCAGATTTTCTGCCTCCTTCTCCCACTTTCCAATTCAGATAAGATATCATGTCACAGGAAGGGATTTTACATCTTGAGTTTCTACAGAAAGAGCCAAATGATACATCCCAGAATATATTGGAATTAACTCCCACAACTATTCCTTTCCTTACCTATGCTTGCTGAGTTTGTTTTTTTTTTTTTTTTTTTTTTTTTTTTTTGAGATGGAGTCTCGCCCTGTCCTGTCACCCAGGCTGGAGTGCAGTGGCGCAATCTCGGCTCACTGCAAGCTCCGCCTCCTGGGTTCATGCCATTCTCCTACCTCAGCCTCCCGAGTAGCTGGGACTAATTTTTGTATTTTTAGTAGAGACGGGATTTCACCGTGTTAGCCAGGATGTTATTGATCTCCTGACCTCGTGATCCGCCTGCCTCGGCCTCTCAAAGTACTGGGATTACAGGCGTGAGCCAGTGCGCCCGGCCGCTTGCTGAGTTTTATCTTCAAATTGCTGCATTATCATTTTTGTTCTTGCCTCAGAGTTTCTTTCCTAGTGAAACTGGGCAATGACAATTATGTTTGTCTTGTGTTTTGAGACAGGGAGTCCTATCTTATCATTTTATTATTTTTGTCTTCTTAAATAAAATTGCTATTTTTTAGGATTAAAAACATTAGGTTTTACAATGTCTAATAAAAGTGAGCTAAAATATTGGTATTAGCAATATGAACAAATAATTTGATAGGGCTTGGTAAAAGACGATTAACTGTCTACTTTTATCTTGTAAAGGAGTTCAAGATGGCTCAAAGCAAAGGACTGCATCTATTTGTAATTACTCTTAGGAGAAAGGAAAAATACAACTTGCTTAACAAGGCTCCTGCTTTTTATTTTCCAAGAAACACAGAAAAAGGCTAACCTTCAGAGGTCAGTAGGATAGTTGTTGAGGCAAGGATAATGACTCAACATAATGAACCCACCAAAGGCAGAAATAGAACATGTGATTCTTTTCTGTTGTTAGAAAAACATAGTTTAATTCATGTGAAAAGTATAACAAATTTGAATGATTAAGCTTTTACAAACTTGTTCTCAAAATATTTGTGGAAAAAATTAATGAAGATATAAGAAAAATGAACAAATTTATCATTATAGTCTGAAGTTTCAACGACCCTCACAGTAACTAACAGCTGAAGCAAAATTAGTAATAGTAATAGTAATGATAGTATATAAACAACATAAACAAATTATCATAAACAACGGGACATGTGGTTCTTAAGGGAAGTAAATATTTTTTATGGAAAAATTAGTAAGTCCAATTTACTGACTCTATGACAAGAGACTGGACTTACATAAACCTGCAGGAGTTTATTTGCTTATTTATTGTTTATTTGTTTCTTCTGTTTGTTTCTGATTTATTTCAAGGGAAGGGAACATAATGGGATTTGCAACCCTCCTTTCTGACAACTTCACTTCTTGAAGAAGGCAGGAGATTCTTGAATATGGGCTTCATCCCAAACTGTCCACTCCCCCATCCCAACAGAGAGGACCTATAATAGAGCAGCGCAACAATGACCTTTTAAAATATTTCAAAAGTATGATTTAAAATGAGATAAATAAATATATCTTGAATATCAACTCTCTTGATAGTCACAAACTATAATGAATCTCAGAGAAGAGCAAGAGGCAAACTTTTTGGATTTTCAGGTCTACTTATCTAATAGGCAGCGACTCTGCTAAATGAGAAAGGTTTCATTTCCCTTCACCTTCTCCCCAGCATGACTTGACTCCTGCTCAGCACTGCTTGTGACAGAATCAGTGACAACAGCTGCTACTGTGAGCAATTGGGATCCCCAGCAGCTAATCTGCATAGAAGAGAAAGTAATCAGTTGACACAGGATGCTGCAATCAACAAAATATTCTTTTCCAATCCTGCGTGGGCTGTTTAGCACTAAAGATGATCTCGTGGTTCCAGACTGATGAGGAGAACAACAGAGATATAAAAGAGGAGAGTTAGCCTATGTTTTCACATAAAAACAGAATATGTTTCTAACCATCCTAAATAATAAATACTTGGTCTTCATCCTAATGCAGTATTTGATACTCCTTGCATTAAAACATTTTGCTTTGTCATCAGAGAGGTTGTCCTCTCCTACATGCTTCTTCTGTCTGCACTCATTTCATTCAGCAAATGTGAGTTTTCTTTAGGACTCCAATCTTCATCTTGTTTAAATAACATCAATGAAGTGTCTGTGACACCTGTACTATGTCTTAGTCCATTCAGGCTACTATAAGAAAATACCTTACACTGGGTACTTTATGAATAATATAAATTTATGTCTCACAGTTCTGGAGGCTGGGGAGTCCAAAATAAAGGCAACAGCAGATTGGGGGTCTTATGAGAGCCTGTTTCTTTGTTCATAGATGGCACCTTCTTGTGTCCTCACATGGTAGCAGGAGTGAATGAGCTGCTTCAGGCCTTTGTTTGTAATGACACTAATTTTATTCATGACAAAGAAGCCCCTTTAACCTAATTACCTCCCAAAGGCCCTACCTCCTAATACTATCACCTTGGGGGTTAGAATTTCAACATATGAGGGGCAGGAGACGCAGTAAATATTCAGAGTAGACCCGATTATGTAGACCATAAATAAGGTCTTCCTTTCCATCCCTTGTCTTCAGGCTCTCCCCTCTCAGTCCTCAAAGGGCTTAATCACCACCAACTATTCAACTACCACCTCCTTGAGGAGCCTGCAAATGTTTCTTCGGTACCAAAAGCTCTATCAAGGTCCAGGCCCCTAAACGTCTTCTAGACACTTTCTCAAAAGCTTAAAAGTCATGTCAGTGTCAAATTCCACCAAACTGTAATATTTATCCCCACTGAGGCAGTAAAATAGGGTCTGGAGGGAGGGAACTTAAGGCCAATTCACACCTCAGCTATGACAGGAAATATCCTCTCCATGGGGCATAGGCCAAGTAAATGACTTTGTAATTTTACTTCATCCTCTTCATTTACATAGGGCATATCCCAAATAAGCAATGGAATCCTCTAGAGAATATTAAATACCTCTAGAGGGTATTTAAACTCCCCAAAATTCTGTAACATGGCCTTTGATCCCCTATGCTCAGGCCCACTCCCACACTGTAGAGTGTGTTTTCATTTTCAATAAATCCCTTCATTTCTTCCTTGCTTTGTTTGTGTGTTGTGTCCAATTCTTTGTTCATGACACCAAGAACCTGGACACCCTCCACTGGTGACACCCACTCCCTTCAGAACTTTCCCTCTTCTGTTCTCCCTATAGCTATAGAAAGGGTCATGATTTTGTTGCCACTAAAGCACTGAAGCACTGAAGATTAATCCCTTTTTATGTTCTCTTCTTTCTTCTTCTTTCCTTTTTTTTTTTTTTTTTCCACTAATACTAATCTACTTCTTTGGTGAGCAATTTCTCACCAGGACAATTTCTCCCAACACTTACCCAGCTTTCTGTCTTCCTCAAATCCAAGGTATCCATCCCCATTGACCAGAATTGCATTTTTATAATTCTTTTCACATCATCCCATGCTCAGAAGTCATCTGTAGGTTTTAATTGCCAGCCACACCGGATCTCTACTTACTATGTTTGATACATCTGTGTCACAGCACCATTGTTGATGTAATTTATTCTTTCTAAAAATACCATTTTTCTAACTTAATGAAATCTTGTGTCACCCTTGAAGCCCTAATTCAAATTTCTTCTTTTCATTGAAACTTTCCAAAACTTGTTGGCTTGGCCATAGTTCACAACTTCTTTCTCTGTATTTCTGTGGCGATTCATTAAACTTTCTGTTGATTTGAAGACATTTATACAATTAATGCATTTCAGTTTTCTTCTTCAAGTTCATCATCAACTTATTATGATTACAACCCTTACTGTACTATTAATATCTCATTGGCCTATGACCAGTCTCCTTTCCTATGTTAGCTCCTTGAGAGAAAAGGCAAGATCCTTGATGCATTCTTTTGCTCAGCGTCTGCATCTGACACCAGTACTTTGGTTACAGGGAGTCCTGGTAACACAGTTTCTCAGTAAGCTTTATTACACAGTGAGCATCTCACTTACTTTTTGGTAATTCCTCTTGATTGCCTGATTGTGTATTTCTTATTACTCACACTTGGAATATGCAGACACCATTCTTTCTAGCCCACATGAGAAGCAATTGAACTTTATGTATATTGAGGAAGAATATCAATTTAATTGATCATAATCCGTTGTCTCTTAATTGGAAGATGCGCTAAAAATACTTTCCTGTGCTGATTTCCTGTTGTATTTTTTTAATTTGATAGACTAGAGCAAAAAACTGACAGTTAAAATATTACCTATTTATTTCCTTACCTAATTTTATTAAATATTTTCAATATTCCATATACTTATTGTTGTGAGAGTTGAAGCATTCAAAGACAAATAAGTCATTGCCCCTATTCCCAAGAGTACAGGCTAGTACAGAGCCCAATATATAAACAACTAAAATTCAAAGCCAAATGAATCAAGTCATAAAGGTACAAGCAGTGCTATGAAAGGTCAAAACTGAAGAATTAGTTCATCCTAAGAGACTAGAACATACTTCATGAAGAAGCTGGCCATTTACCTAACCAAGCCCTGCCTCTTGGTCCATTTATAGCAGTGATTGGTTCACTTTGAATTATTTCATTGAAGTTGGTTCTGTTTCTTGTTGTTGTTGTTGTTTTCCTCAAACAACTTACTTATTTCTCTTTCACCCATTCTGCCATCTCATAAGATGGTAGATACTTGCACATCATTTTTAGCTGTTAATTGTTGTTTAGCTATTATTGAATACAGTTATTTGAGGAGTTAGGCACTATTAAGCAGCACTTAGCAGGATATATAGAGCTTTCATCAAGTTAATTCCCCACAGCAATGCTGTTAACCCAGCATTTCTCAAATCAGGGTCATTTGCAACAGCTGCCTGGAAATAGTTCCACAGAAACACTGCACATTTCATTGATCATGTTTCATGAACAAATGTCAATTTTCCTCATGAATTCTTAGATGTTATTAAATTTTTAACGTTGTTTTGAAGTGGTTCAATCCACCTCAGTAAATATATGATACCAATCTAGAAGTAAAAATTAGGTATATATAAACAGATATTTATTGATTGATTATAATTGGAATGTTAATGAACTCACCTCTTTGTAAACTACCTAAAACTGCTATCCAAAAGAAAAAGAGAAAAAAATACAAAACAGATTTCTCTAATGCTGATTTTAAAAGCAATTAAAGTATTTAATAGTGAAAATATTTTGTATTTTATGCTATTAATATAAGTATATACTAATGTTTTAGAATGTTTTAAAATATCTCAAAATACTTACAAATTCTTCCCTACATCCCTGACAGTCTCCTAATTCCCGCAATATAATTTACAACATTTTTTCCTAAAATTAATGAACTTGGAGCATCTCATTATTAGAATAAATTTATTCTTAGAATAAACTAAAATCTAGAAATGTATCAATGCTCATGTAATTACTACATTTGTAGAAGCAGCAGCCTGTTACAACCTTGAAAGAATAATCAGTGTAGTGGAGAATATGAAGAACAGGAAAATTATGCTGTGCCCTCCAAGTGTTCAATTATACATTTTAAGCCCCTGAAATATTAAAAACATTCTCTGTATCATTAATGTTTTTAAGACAATGAAAGGTAAACACATAAACTTCCTAGACAACACCTCCTACCCACAAGCAATATAAAGCATATAAAATAAAACATTAACTTTTCAGTAGAGGCAGTGTTGATTAATAGAATTGTTGTTTGAGTCTCATTTAATAATTCTGTATGATTGGGCAAGATATATTACCTCTCTGCCTCAGTTTTCTTAAACATAAATAATACATACAATGTTTCCAAAAATCTTCCAAGAGTGTAGCACTTTGTATTGGTTTTCTAGGAATGAGTTGTGAGTGATACATTAAATTAGAGGTCATGCCATTTACAATAACATACTTTACATTTTTTTGTTTCCACATATTCTATGCATTTTGAATCCTCCTTATAAGCTTTGGAGAGCTTGGGGTAGAAAGGAAGGAAAGGTGCAACTTATGAATTATTTCCTGTACCTTACATCAGTCACTTGTGCTTTTTGTCACCTCATTTAGTTGGAGAAAACAGTAGAACAAGTAATATCCTATTTTCCTTCTTCACTTTTCACAGACCAACAAGAATCAAGAAACCTAGGGAGTATTATACTGCTTCCACAGAGAGAATGCAGAATCTGTGATCTCACTGCTAATGAGAAAGCTTCTTGTTGGTTTCCACTGGCCCTGCTATCAACTCACTGCTATCAGTCTATCTGGCTCTAATGATGGCAGTCAACATTTATTGAATGTTAGCTTTGCACAGGCATTGTACTATATACTCTTTTCTTCCCTTTGTAAGCTGCTCCCAAAGTAGACATCATTATTATTCCCATTTTAACCTCATTTTACAGATGAGAAAAATCGCTTCAGGAGATGTCATTTACCTACGTAATGTCACAGATCAAGTAAGTTAATAGCATTGAGACTGTAGAGTCTAGGAGCTTCTATATCCAAGACGTTCTTACCTGCCAGAAGGTCCTGTCCATTGGCCCCATTAAACTGTTTCTATAACTTCACATCATATCTGGTTTCAATTCTCTAAAACTTGTTTAAAGGTGATATCAATGACAACGGTGGGGCAATTTTGTGAGCACTGTATCCATCAACCCTATGCTTTGTTCACTCCTAGCTTCCTGCTTCCTCCTTTTCAAATGGTACTTTACTAGCAGGCTCTTTCAGACTTTCACATACCTGGTGGAAGAGAAGGAAAGGCAAACAATCTCTATTTCCTTTACTGGAGCTCAGAAAAGAAAAGTAGAAAATCAGTAATAAAAGAAAAATGTAGTCAAGTTTGTATCCTGATATTCCCACTTTTCATGCTGTCTATTCTGAATTACATTTTCCTAGGATGGCAGCAATATTAATAACTTAAACAAAGTCACAGATAAGGTTACAGAGAAAGAGAGAGACAGGAATAGGATGCAGTAGGCCCAATCTTTCATACTCTCAGCTGTAAGAACATTCCAGAAAAAGAAAAAAAGTCCATTATCTATAAACCATTATTCTTATTATAATCCATATTTATAAGGCTATAAGCTTCTGCAAATTATTTGAATTGGGGTCATTAGTTATCATTTTTAAAATTAAATTTGAATATAAATTGGGATATTCAAATTTCCTAGCTAACCTAACGTTAAACAAAGGGAAATAAATTTTAGATGACTCAATTTTCTGTTTGATCCATTTGTCTTAATCCTGGAGAAGAACCATGACCTAGAAAACTAGAATCAACTTGTGACATTAACTGAAAGGAGGGAGAATGAATACCTCCCTTAATTCAATAATTTTTCATATTCATTTTAAATTAGTATCTTGAGATGTTTCAGAATAGGAAGTATAAAATGCATAAAATTATTATCTGAATCTAATTATTCCCATACTGTGGATGAGAAGGCCTATTAGAAGGGCATATGATTTGACTTTCTGCATTCTATTTGTTATTGTTGTTGTTGGAGACAGAGTCTCACTCTGTCACCCAGGCTGGAGTGCAGTGTTGCGATATCAGCTCATTGCAAGCTCTGCCTCCCGGGCTCAAGCAATTCTCCTGCCTTAGCCTCCCAAGTAGCTGGGATTACAGGTGCACATCACCACACCTGGCTAATTTTTGTATTTTAGTAGAGACAGAGTTTCACCATGTTGGCCAGGCTGGTTTTGAACTCCTGACCTCAGGTGATCTGCCAGCCTCAGCCTCCCAAAGTGCTGGGATTACAGGCATGAGCCACTGTGCCTGGATGACTTTCTGCATTCTTATATGTTCAAAATATAATCTGATTGTTAGTATGCATGAAGAAACTAGGATGATGTGACGGCTAGAAAGAAGTGTCAATAGCTTTGAGTGGTACCAACTGTCTACATAGCAGTGCAGTTTCTAATCCTGGACAAAGTTTATTCTTACCTAAACATGAACCCAACTTTTTCTTTAATATAATAATTTGTTCTCAGAATAATAGCTCTTGATAACTGCCTGCCTGTTTTCTACTATCAAGGCTAAGGCCTGTATGAAGCTACCCATAAGTGAGTGAGTCAAGTGCAATTCAATTTATCTCTTTTCACAGGTCACCAAGTGCTCTTACAAACAATGAAAGAAGAATAAAAGTTCATATATGTATGTATTTTTATTTTTAGCATTGAATATAATTATACAAGAAACATTTAAAAAATGATGGATTCTAATTACAGATATTTTCATTACTTGAAGGAGAAACAATGTAATAGTTACAGACAAGTGTCCTAGTCCAGAAATTCATGGAATCATAGACAATTAGAGCTGTATGGGACCACAGGGATTATCTTCTGTCAACCCCTAATTTCATGGATAAGTCAGTGAGAGACAGGGGAAGTAAAAGAACATGGGTAGGGTAAAAAATTTTACAGGAAGGATTAAAATGATAATCTCTTGGCTACAAAGCAGTGCTGCTTTCATTATACTACCTTTTTTAACTTCTTCAAGAATGCCATTCTGGTAATGCCTTAGTCTAAATTACATAGGATTCTTTCAGGTGGTGCTTCACCAGCTGGAGACCTCCGTGACCAGGGGTGCCTCTGCTAGAGTTTCGCTCATGACCACCCAATCTGACCAGCAGGCTGTGCTCAGCTCCAGGCTCGCTGGCCCAGATCTCACATCCACCACAGACAACCCTGGCGTGGAGCAGTGAGGGGTGTGAGAGTGATTCAGTGCAGGGTTCAGCCATGGTGCCCAGCCAGTTGTGCCAACTGCTGTGGTGGTGTGGCTGCTCCAGTCACCAGCTCTGTGCAAGGCTGTAGCTGAACCAGGTGTACTGCAAAGCAGCTTCTGCTTTAGGCGCCAGCATCTAAACGAGGCGAATGCGGTGGAACCCAAAAAACTGAGATATGCCAGCCACCCCAGAGCCCCAAAGAGGGTGTTACAGCGTGTTACAGTTCTAGCTAGGGCAGTCCCGAGGTGTGGGCCCCAGAAGGGCTGCAGCTCGTTCATGTTGCAGTTCGTTCGTTCCTGCCATCCACAGCCTTTCTTTGGCAAACAGGGGCATGTTCCAGCTTGTTCGATCCCATTGCCCCACTAGGCCTGCAGCACCTGGGCTGGCCAAGAGCCACCGCCACTTCCTGTCTTGTGGGGCAGCCACCTGTTGCCAACAGAGTACGGGAGGACTACAGCTTTACAGCTTCTTTCACACTGGCTGTTTGGTGAGTCCCAGGATTTTGTCCCATGTCCAGAAGAATGAGGTTACATGGAAAACTGGAGGGTGAGCAAGGTGGAGAAGAGTTTTATTGAGTGACAGAAGAGCTCAATAAATTGTGAGTAGCCCCGACCTGAAATTGGGTAGTCTCAAAGTGTGGCTGAGTCTGGGGATCATATAGGCTCAGAATGAAGAAAGTGCGGGCTGTAGGTAACCTTGGAAAAGGCAACATTCAATTGGTTAAAAAGCATTGTTCAGAAAGAACCAATCAGGAAAGAGTGGGCAAACAGGAATAGAAGTTCTCACTCTGGTTGCAGACTCCATCTGGAACTGGCAGCCTGGTTTTAAGGCTTCAGGCTGTTTTTGGCTTGAAGGTTTGGTTTCACCGGGGACCTGCCCCTATCTGCTTAGGAATTTGCCTCCTTCTACTATTATGAACAATAGCAAACGATTTTCTTGAAATATTTGAAAGACTCCTGAAGGAAGGAATAGATTTGAGGTACCCTTGCCATGTCTAAAGCAAAGAAATTAAGAAAACATTACGTGTGAATGTGTGTGTGTGCGTATATATACATATATATAAAAATAATTTTAATCAAATAAATATGCTAATGACATGGAAACAGAAAGACAACTCAGTGGAACAGAATCCAGAAATAGGTCTTTCTATATATGCTAATTTAATAAATGGTAAGAATGGCATTTTAATTTGGGGAAAAAGATAGATTACAGGACAAGTAGTCATATTCCTATGAAGAAGAAAATATATGTGGGACCCTGAACCTGTTAGGATTGCTTTCAATTTTAAGTGACAAAAACTTTGTAATATAGTAGCCTAAACATAGGAAGGTTTGTATTTTCATGTAAGTCTAATGGAGTGTGATTCAGCCCAGCCAACTGCTCAATGACACAGTCTGCTTTCTATCTTTCTGCTCCATCGTCTTCAGTGTGTGATTTTCATTCTCATCACTGCAAGATTGATGGAAAAACTGAAGCCATAATGTCCATATTTCATTCATAAAGAAGAGAAAATATTGTAGGGAAAGGGAGTCTCATGAGCCTTTTCCTTTGTTTTTAACAGGATTTTGTTTTTACTTAGAAAAGGATGTTTGCCCTATAACCCAACCAGGGTTAGATGACCTCAAAACTGCAAAGAAGTCGGAGATCTCATGTGTTAGTTTCTACCCTTGTTAACAGAAAAATACCAGGAGGGCAGGATTTGGGGCAATTGTAGAATAAGACAACCCACAGAATCTGCCACATATAAAAAAACAAGCTAGGTGTATTAAGGCATTAAATGTAACATAAGCTAAAATAAAAGCTTATAAAAATGTAGGATATTACAAGCCCATTAAGGATCTGGTAACACATTCTTACATAAGACTGGAAAATTGTATACAATAAAGGGGAAAAAATTGCTTAACAATATATTTTATTTACAAAAGAACCACAAGCAGACTTAAGTGAGTAAAATATTCAGAAAAAAATTCTGTTATGCAGGTAGTAAGCATAGACACATGTACCAACACACGTGTGTGAATACACACATGCATGTGCACACATACACAACACACAGAGAATTTTTATAAATTTACAACAAAGATAAAAAGCCCAAATGAATAAATAGGCAAAGTATATTCATTGACTAATTCCTGGAACAATAAATTGAAAGAGCAAAATGACATAAAAAGATGTTCAGTTTCCCTAGTCATTGGCAAAATGCAAATTAGATTAAAATTAAATTATTACTTTACATTTATTAGACTTGAAAACATTTTCTAAAGAGAGAGAGAGAAATATATCTCCTATCATGAGAACCCTGGAAAATAATACATTTTTCCTCTGGTGGTAGAAATGTCAAGTTTTACAACCTTTTCAGAAAGCAATCTGGCAGCATCCTTTAAAATCCAAAGAAATAGCCTTCCTAGGAACCTATCCCATAAAAATAAAGGTGGTAGTATACAAAGATATAACTACAAAATTATTAATGGCAACATTGTTCTCAGTGGCAAAAAACTGGGGAAAGTTTAATATCAATCAATAGGAAAATGGTTGGTTAAATATGTAGCTCACTATAAAAAAATTAAAATTTTTTAAATTTAACTAGAAGGATTTCTATAATTTTTTCACTGAGAAAAAAAATTTCACAAAAAACAAATATGATTATCTCATTTTGAAAAATAACAAATATATAAAGAGATAGATGATTGATTGATAGATAGGCATTTATGTATGTTCATGCATATGTTTCCATGTGATTGAAACCAAAGGGTTAATTTGATCAGATCTGCCTGCCCTGCTTGCTTCTGGTTGCTTGATTGTGTAATTCTTTTGTTTCCTTTTTCATGAAGCTAAAGGCCATGGTAGCTGATGACTTCCCCACTGAATGCTGAAATTTTACCTTCACTGGCTACTTTTATAGACAGCATTCATAGGTCACCACAGTAATAGTTGATCAAGCTGTTTTTCAGGAACTTGGGCCAGCTCCTATCCAGTTCAAATTGGTTGGACCACCTACCGTTCAACTAGGGTGGTGCAAGTGCTGGAGAGGTGGCCTTTTGTTGTCAGGGGGCCCAAAATTCCACCCTCATATCACACTAACGCTGCCATTTTCTATACATGTGTCCTATAAAATGCTGCAAACCCAAACTACACTTGGTCAGAAAGAACCAATTACTTCATTTCTCCGTACTGCCAATCACTTTTCCTCACGCATTAGACCACTCCATTTCTCTAACACATAAATATCCCTCAACCTATCTTCAAGGAGGTGGATTTGAAAGCATTTTCCCACCTCCTTGCTTGGTGGACTTGTGAATAAATCTTTTCTCTTTTGCAAAACCCACGTCACGGTGATTGAATTATTGCACAGGGGTAGAACAGACCTGGACCTGACCAATAACATGATTACATTAAAATGAGAAAAAAATGTAGGAATATACGCTGCATTGTTAACATAAGTGACAGCGTTGGAGAGTTGGAGGAAGGGTGGGAGGAGATGGAGCATAAGGAGCCAAGCAAAAAAGAAAAAGGAAAAAGTGCACCAATAACAATATCACAACAGGTAAAACCTGCTACTAATTGTGCATTCATATAAAATTACATTTGTTCATACAAATATTTGTAGAAACATTTAAGTAAAAACAGCAACATGGCCACTTTGGTATAGAATAATGGTTGTGACCACGCTTGGAATATTGTGTGTGGTTCCAGGCAAATGTCAGAGACAATTTAGAAAATGGAAGAGAAGAGACTCTGTCTCAAAAAAAAAAAAAAAAAAAAAAGAAAAGAAAAGAAAAGAAAAGAAAATGCAAGAGAATTAGTAGAGCAACTCAAGCCATCAGTGAGTGGAGAAGCTTCAATTTGAAAAGTCTAGGAAAGTAAAGATGAAGATGGACAAGCTTCCTCCTTTTCTCTTCAACAAGCTTCATAGTCTCTTCCCCCTCAAATTCAACATATGACTTTACTACCTGTTCAACAGAAAAAGGAAATCAATAGACTAAAATTCCTCAACTTCCCACTGTTGTGCCTATACAGTTGAACCTGTCTGCTTCCACACGTTCCTCCTTCTTGCCTCCTAACTGTAGTTAAGCCCTCATTCCAGGATCTGGGATTCGATACACAGCCCTCTTCTCAGAAAAGGCCTCCTATTGGCTGGGCACGGTGGCTCACACCTGTAATCCCAACACTTTGGGAGGAAGAGGCGGGCAGATCACCTGAGGTCAGGTGATCAGGACCTGACTGACCAACATGGAGAAACCTCATCTCTACTAAAAATACAAAATTAGCTGGGCATTATGGTGCATGCCTGTAATCCCAGCTATTCAGGAGGCTGAGGCAGGAGAATCGCTTGAACCCCGGAGGTGGAGGTTGCAGTGAGCAGAGATCGCGCCATTGCACTCCAGCCTCGGCAACAAGAGCGAAACTCTGTCTCAATAAAAAAAAGAAAAGGCCTTTTATTTATTGTCTCTCCTTTCCCTTTCACATCTTCAATGTCTCCCTCTTTGGGCTTTTTATTTATTTTTTATTATGTGCTAAATATAAATCTTTTATTTTAAAAAAATTATTACAGGTCTGGGCTGGAAAGTGCAGAAAATGTGTCTATAACATTTTACAAGTCTCAAAACAAGAGTCATCAAAGACTCCTGAGGCTTTTGTCAGAATGACTCAGTAACTTAAAGTGCTTTATATGAGTCAGGCGTGGTACAATTTGAGAATCAGTAGGAATAACCACTGCAATGGATAAAATTTGTCAAATAATTTTTAATTATTGTGCTCACAATGATCGTTTTATAAAACCAAAAATTAAAAATGCTCTGGTCATCTTTCAAAGATGTCTGGCAATTAACTCATAATTGTGACAACAGTTAATAAAAGAAACTAATCAAACATTTATCTTCTGTACAAATTGTACTTAAGAGTAACTAAATAGTTAATGAGAGAAAGCCTTTCTTTATAGACTTACTCCAGCTAATGATTGAAAATGGAAATACAGAATTGGAATATTACATTTTGAAGCTGTTTATGAATTAACAAATCTAGGAAATGATTCTTAATCACTACTAATTTCCCAATAATATAGACAACCAGACACTTTGTGCCTTCAGATGAAAGAACGAACCACTGTCTATACAGCAGTCTTCAAAAAAATGGAACTACACTAAAATCAAGATTATAGATTTAAATACCAATTTACAGAAAATATGAAGGATATAGGAACACATTATACAGTACTGTTCAGCAACCAGTAAAATTCAAACCACAACAAACTCTGCAGGGCAAATGATCCAATTCTTTGAATAAATCAATATAAAGGAAAAAAGTGGGTAGGAAAGAGGAAACCTATACTGTAGTTTAAAAGAGATTGTGAGATACGACATTCAATCACAATGAATTGATTTCAATTATTTCAATCCTGAATTGAATAACAGTAACCTTCCTAGTCCAGACCTAGGACTTCTCTTTGCATTTTGTATCAACGATGGAGGTTTTTCAAGGAATATACTCCTAACCCTCCCATCAGTCTGAAATCAGAATCTTATCTCAGGGCATTATCATACTCTCTTCTTTGCTTAAAACTATTTTCAATTTTCCCTCCTACTCTTCCTATACCTTACTTAGAGGCTTATTAAATACTCATATTGCTTATTCAATTATATTTTTCATTAAATGTGTATGAATTCTCTGAAACCAGGAACCTTCTCTATCTTCTGTGTTGCAGAACCTGAGCTCCTAGCAGTACTACCTATCATGGAACAATATCCAAAAATATTTGTCAAATGAATTGTTTGACAATTTGTTGGCCCTGGACAGAAGTGACTTTTCCCGTGTTTGTGTTGTATTTCAATCCTGAATTGAATAAATTAATGGTAAAAATATCTATGGAACAACAGTAAAAATTTATATACTAACTAGGTATTTAGTAATGCTAAAGATTATTGTTAATTTGTAACTAGGATAATGGTATTGTGATTAGTTTAAAAAGAAGATTTATTTCTTAAGGATACATGTTAAAATATATGTTGACAAATTTGCGTGGTATTTAGGATTTGCTGCAAAATAATATGGAGGAAGAGAGGAATTGGTTTGGGTACAAGTGAAACAAAATCAGAAACTTGATAACTGTTTAAGCTGAATGATGAATACGTGGAGTTTATTATGTTGTTTTCTCCTTCTTGGTTTATAGTTGAAATTTTCCATATTGTATTTTTTAAAAATCTTTCCTTGTTTCCCCTTACATGTTCAGCAAATGTCCTATATCCCTCCCTTTTTTGTCAAAACAAAATTTCAAATGTTATCCAGACTAATATTATCATTTTCTTACCATCAATCTCTCTTCAAGCCACCATGACCTGGCTTTTACTGTTACTATCACACTTAAACTGCTGTTTCTAAGCTTAGCAAAGACCTGAGTTTACTGAAATTCAGTGATGGTTTTTAGTCCTTATTATGTTTAACTCTTTTCTTCATTCACTCTTATTCATTCCCTTCTATCCAACATTTTCTCCCCTTAACTCTGTGACATTCTACTCTCTTGGCTTTTCCCACCTCACATGGAGGGTTCCTTAACTATCGATGACTTCCTAGTCCAGACTTAGGACTTTTCTTTGCATTCTGTATCAACAATGGAGATTTTTTTCAAGGCATATACTCCTACCACCTCCCATCACTCTTTGAAATCAGAATCTTACCTCAGGGCATTATAATATTCTTATTTGCTTAAAACTTCATTTCTAATCCTCCTGCCTACCCTTACTACACACCTACACAGGGACTCCTACATACTATTCTTGTCCTACTTATGAATCAAAACTTTTTTCCCACAGGAAGTTTCCCTTTGTTTATATTCAATTAAATCTTTGTGCTCTGTTCCAATAAGAGAATATTATTTCTCTAGTAGTAAAAATTGTCATGCACAACTTTATTGATTATTAAGTTATCTTTTTCTCTAAAAGATTATGGATTCCTTGAAACCAGCTACCTTCTCTAACTTATTTGTTGCAGAATTCTGAGCTCCTAGCAGTACCTGTCTTGGAACAGTAGCCCAAAACATTTGTCAAATAAGCTGACTCGTTCTTGGCCTTGTTGGCCTGAAATGACTTTTCTTGTGTGTCTTTTGTTCTTTGTTCCAGTGTCCATGGAAATTCATTTTTACTTGTATTCAAAACTCCTGGCTCAAACCCAGTAATGCTTTAAAGAAAACCAAAAACTTATTTAAATAACAAATTAGGGCAATGTTTTAAATTGCAGCCATACTCCTACACATTAGGGGTTGTTGGAGTCAATTTAGAGAATTTTTAAAGAAATATAATAGAATGTAAAATATCAAGATGTACTGAGCAAAGAGTAAGCATTACTTTTAAATTTTAAAATCAAATGTGTAAATTTTCACATGTATGTACATGTGTGTATCTGCATGTATGTGTATGTTGGATTAAGATCTAAAATGTACCTTCTCTTTTCTGTGAGTCTCAAACAAAATAGTCATCCACTTAGGATTTAAGCAACTAGGGACATTAAAATAAGTGTGATTTCACAGCCAGCAGATATACCCCCAGTGATGGCAAATAACCCCTGCAGAAACAGTCCTCTCTGAATATGGATTTTAGTGAAAGAGATTGTGTCTAACTAACGTGGTAGAAATAGGTGACATATGCCTTTAAAACCCACCAAGGAAAATTTAACATGCAATTTCCTTAAAAGCACTTTGACTCTAAAAAGATGCATTTCTTCCTTGAGGGCAAATTAACTATACAGAAGAGACTGTATGCTAGTCTATGCCTAAACGCTAGTAAGGGTGTTCATCATGAATGTTGTCAGACCTTTTCCAGAAAGGAATTTTTACAGTGTTCTGATAAGCTTCTCATAAGTATGTAAAATTTTTCTACCCCACTTTCAATACCATCCTAATCATATCTTCCTGTTTCCCCAAAATCATTAATTTAATCCTCTTTTATTTTTTTCACTTCCCAAGCCCCACTTCTATGTATAGACCTATTGGTCCATGGTTTTTGTTTTCTACTCTGGTCTCATGACTTTCAAATTCTGACGTTATTCTCTCTCAATCATTTGAATCTAATCACTTTAAAGTCATCTTTCTGGGGTTCCAATCAAACATGGACTGACATCAAAGGACAGATGAAGAGAAAGGACACAAAATCAAATGCCCTGCCCATGGTAACTTTTTACTAAGGTTATTCCTTAGTTATTTTTAAAAATGCAAAAGAATCACAAGTAACAAGGAATTGCAAAGTACTCTCACAATTACAAGGTTCGAGTTATTTTTTCAGCTGTGATAATTAAGCAAATGCTGCCTTCTTACCTGACTCATTAAAATAAGTATTTTGTTGAAAGAAAAATGGTGGTTCATGAAAACCATTTTATTACTTTTATTATATTTTATTATATGTTGAAGGGAAAAAAAGTCCCCAACCTAAGAATTGGGTCAAATGTGTATTGCATCTTTGTGGCTTAGGCAAAATCGCTGGCAATTACCTGTTAAAAATATCACCTTGTTACTTCTTTGGAGCTCTGCTTTTGGCTTCAGCTTGACACTGTTTCAACACTTGACATTTGTTGACCCAATAAGCAGGAGAAACTGACCTGAATTATTTTTTAGAAGGTCATTTTTTGCAAGCTAAATATAAAAAACAGAGGCAAATGAACTTTAGCTTCTTAACATAGTTAATGTCTTAGCACAGAAACTAAACTGTTAATGTTTTGAAAACCTCTAACACAAAAATCAAGGTGAGAAGGCCATGTTTTAAAACCAAAACTTATAAAATTCATGATTTAGGTAGAAATTGTTTTTTATGTGAACTATAAAAAGAAGTACCATAACAATCACTCTGCATATGTTTATAGCATATAAACAGGATGTGACTTTTATGGAAATCCTAGGACTAATGGAACATGTTCAGTTTGCTACAAGCAACATCTTCAGAAGTGGCAGAATAGTGGCAGGATGAGCCCATTGGGGACAACTAGTGGTTCCAACAGTCCTACCTCAGATTCTGCATCTGTACAGAGAGCAGACACCAGCTTAAATGACTGTGAAGGTGCTGCTGACATGCCATAACCTTGAAATCTATGAAATGAGACAAACATATCAGAAATATATCTATGGTGAAATCACCATTTTGTTTTGTCAAAGGGAAGTTATTTCCTTGGTTTCATATGCTGTTTATAACCAGTTTTCATCTTATGGACATATTTTTAAAGCTGCTTTTGCCTTGCTGGCTTCTGACCTGAAGGACTTGCTGCTTTTAAAACAAATTCACAGTTTTTTTATCCCTGAAACAAATTCTTATTAGAGAGTCCTGTCTTTCATGGGTCAGATTGTCAAACACTCACTGTCCTTTGAAGATACAGGATGCTTTCTTCATATTACATGTTGACGTCTCTCCAAAGACATCACAAGAAATAACAGAATCACAAAGGATAGACACCTCAAAGAGTTAGTGCAGCATTTCAAGAAATAGAAAGCACGTCTAACAAACTGCATAAAGACTGCCATCATGGGCACTAAATGGTCTTCATTCTGTATACTGCATGACATTTAATTTAGACTTCTGATTCAGTAGGAGTCCAATTAATGATTTCTATTGATATTGTTACCTTTAGAAAATAATTAGTTATATGAAAATTATCAATATTTTGCTTGATGTCTTATAAATAATGCATTTACATATACAACATGATATTTTTCTTGTGGAACTTATGGTCTTCCCTAAGCTTTCTGAGCACCTCGCAGATACATAAAACTATAAATGAGGGTCACATGGCAAATTACAAGTTAAAACGTACCTTTAAAAAGTATTTATTTGGCTTAGGTTCCAAGATGGCTGAATAGGAACAGCTCCAGTCTACAGCTCCCAGCATGAGCAATGAGGAAGACGGGTGATTTCTGCATTTCCAACTGAGGTACCAGGTTCATCTCACTGGGGCTTGTTAGACAGTGGGGGCCGAAGCAGGGCAAGGCATCGCCTCACCCGGGAAGCACAAGGAGTCAGGGAATTCCCTTTCCTAGCTAAGAGAAGCGGTAACAGACAGCACCTGGAAAATCGGGTCACTCCCACCCTAATACTGCACTTTTCCAATGGTGTTAGCAAATGGCACACCAGGAGATTATATCCCGTGCCTGGCTCAGAGGGTCCCACGCCCACAGAGCCTCGCTCATTGCTAGCACAGCAGTCTGAGATCGAACTGCAAGGCGGCAGCAAGTCTTGGGGAGGGGTGCCAGCCATTGCTGAGGCTTGAGTAGGTAAACAAAGCGGCCAGGAAGCTTGAGCTGGGTGGAGCCCACCGAAGCTCAAGGGGGCCTGCCTGCCTCTGTAGACTCCACCTCTGGGGGCAGGGCATAGCCAAACAAAAGGCAGCAGAAACCTCTGCAGACTTAAATGTCCCTGCCTGACAGCTTCGAAGAGAGTAGTGGTCCACCCAGCATGGAGTTTGAGATCTGAGAACAGACAGACTGCCTCCTCAAGTGGGTCCCTGACCCCCGAGTAGCCTAACTGGGAGGCACCCCCCAAGTGAGAGGTGACAGTGTGCTGGCAGTCCTCACAGCCCTCACTCACTCTTGGCGCCTCCTCGGCCTCGGCATCCACTCTGGCCACGCTTGAGGAGCCCTTCAGCCTGCCGCTGTGCTGTGGGAGCCCCTTCCTGGGATGGCCAAGGCTGAAGCCAGCTCCCTCAGCTTGCAGGGAGGTGTGGAGGGAGAGGCATGGGTAGGAACCGTGGCTGCGTGCAGCTCTTGTGGGCCAGCACGAGTTCCGGATGGGTGTGGGCTCCGTGGGCCCTGCACTCAGAGCAGCCGGCTGGCCCTGCCGGCCCCGGGCAGTGAAGGGCTTAGCACCCAGGCCAGCAGCTGCAGAGGGTGTGCCAGGTACCCCAGCAGTGCCCGCCCACTGGCGTTGTGCTCAATTTCTTGCCAGGCCTTAGCTGCCTCCCCACAGGGCAGGGCTTGGGACTTGCAGCCCACCATGCCTGAGCCTCCTGCCCCGCGCCATGGGCTCCTGCATGGCCTGAGCCTCCCCGATGAGTGCCGCCCCCTGCTCCATGGTGCCTAGTCCCATTGACCACCCAAGGGCTGAGGAGTGCAGGCACAAGGCGCAGGACTGCCAGGCAGCTCCACCTGCAGCCCCGGTGTGGGATCCACTGGGTGAAGCCAGCTGGGCTCCTGAGTCTAGTGGGGACTTGGAGAACCTTTATGTCCAGCTAAGGGATTGTGAATACACCAATCAGCACTCTGTGTCTAGCTCAGGGTTTGTAAACACACCAATCAGCACTCTGTATCTAGCTAATCTAGTGAGGACTTGGAACACTTTTGTGTCTAGCTCGGGGATTGTAAACGCACCAATCAGCACCCTGTCAAAACAGGCCAATCAGCTCTCTGTAAAAGGGACCAATCAGCAGGATGTGGATGGGGCCAGATAAGGGAATAAAAGCAGGCTGCCCCAGCCAGCAGTGGCAACCCACTAGGGTCCCCTTCCACACTATGGAAGGTGTGTTCTTTTGCTCTTTGCAATAAACCTTGCTGCTGCTCACTCTTTGGGTCCGCACTGCCTTTATGAGCAGTAACACTCACTGCAAAGGTCTGCAGCTTCACTCCTGAGCCAGCAAGACCACGAACCCACCAGAAGGAAGAAACTCCGAACTTATCCGAACAACAGAAGGAACAAACTCCGGACATGCCGCCTTTAAGAACTGTACCAGTCACCACGAGGGTCCGTGGCTTCATTCTTGAAGTCGGTGAGACCAAGAACCCACCAATTCTGGACACACCAGCAGGGGCAGACTGACACCTCACATGCCCCAGTACCCCTCTGAGATAAAGTTTCCAGAGGAGCGATCAGGCAGCAGCATTTGCTCTTCAGCAATAATCGCTGCTCTGCAGCCTCTGCTGCTGATACCCAGGAAAACAGGGTCTGGAGTGGATCTCCAGCAAACTCCAACAGACTTGCAGCTGAGGGTCCTCACTGTTAGAAGGAAAACTAACAAACGGAAAGGATATCCACACCAAAAGCTCATCTGTATGTCACCATCATAAAAGACAAAAGGTAGATAAAATCACAAAGATGGGGAAAAAACAGAGCAGAAAAGCTGAAAATTCTAAAAATCAGAGTGCCTCTTCTCCTCCAAAGGAACACAGCTCCTTGCCAGCAACTGAACAAAGCTGTAAGGAGAATGACTTTGACATGTTGAGAGAAGAAGGCTTCAGATGATCGAACTTCTCCGAGCTAAAGTAGGAAGTTTGAACCCATCGCAAAGAAGCTAAAAACCTTGAAAAAAGATTAGACGAATGGCTAACTAGAATAACCAGTGTAGAGAAGTCCTTAAATGACCTGATGGAGCTGAAAACCATGGCATGAGAACTACATGACAAATGCACAAGCTCCATTAGCCAATTCAATCAACTGGAAAAAAGGGTATCAGTGATTGAAGATCAAAGGAATGAAATGAAGTGAGAAGAGAAGTTTAGAGAAAGAAGAGTAAAAAGAAATGAACAAAGCCTCCAAGAAATATGGGACTATGTGAAAAGACCAAACCTACATCTGATTGGTGTACCTGAAAGTGACAGGGAGAATGAAACCAAGTTGGAAAACATTCTGCAGGATATTATCCAGGAGAACTTCCCCAATCTAGCAAGACAGGCCAACATTCAAATTCAGGAAATACAGAGAACGCTGCAAAGATACTCCTCGAGAAGAGCAACTCCAAGACACATAATTGTCAGATTCACCAAAATTGGAATGAAGGAAAAAATGTTAAGGGCAGCCAGAGAGAAAGGTCGGGTTGCCCATAAAAGGAAGCCCATCAGACTAACAGCAGATCTCTTGGCAGAAACTCTACAAGCCAGAAGAGAGTGGGGGCCGATATTTAACTTTCTTAAAGAAAAGAATTTTTAACCCAGAATTTCATATCCAGCCAAACTAAGCTTCATAAGTGAAGGAGAAATGAAACCCTTTACAGACAAGCAAATGCTGAGAGATTTTGTCACCACCAGGCCTGCTCTATAAGAGCTCCTGAAGGAAGCACTAAACATGGAAAGGAAAAACCGGTACCAGCCACTGCAAAAACATGCCAAATTGTAATGACCATTGAGGCTAGGAAGAAACTGCATCAAGTAACGAGCAAAATAACCAGCTAACATCATAATGACAGGATCAAATTCACACATAACAATATTAACCTTAAATGTAAATGGGCTAAATGCTCCGATTAAAAAACACAGACTGGCAAATTTGATAAAGAGTCAAGACCCATCAATGTGCTGTATTCAGGAGACCCATCTCACGTGCAGAGACACACATAGGCTCAAAATAAAGGGATGGAAGAAGATCTACCAAGCAAATGGAAAACAAAAAAGGCAGGGGTTGCAATCTTAGTCTCTGATAAAACAGACTTTAAACCAACAAAGATCAAAAGAGACAAAGAAGGCCATTACATAATGGTAAAGGGATCAATTCAACAAGAAGAGCTAACTATCCCAAATATGTATGCACCCAATACAGGAACACCCGGATTCATAAAGCAAGTCTTAGAGACCCACAAAGAGACTTAGACTCCCACACAATAATAATGAGAGAGTTGAACACCCCACTGTCAACATTAGACAGATCAACGAGACAGAAAGTTAACAAGGATGTGCAGGAATTGAACTCAGCTCTGCACCAAGTGGACCTAATAGACATCTACAGAACTCTCCACCCCAAATCAATAGAATATACATTCTTCTCAGCACCACATCGCACTTATTCCAAAATCGAACACATAGTTTGAAGCAAAGCACTCCTCAGCAAATATAAAAGAACAGAAATTATAACAAACTGTGTCTCAGACCACAGTGCAATCAAACTAGAACTCAGGATTAAGAAACTCACTAAAAACCGCTCAACTACATGGAAACTAAACAACCTGCTCCTGAATGACAACTGGGTACATAACGAAATGAAGGCAGAAATAAAGATGTTCTTTGAAACCAATGAGATCAAAGACACAACATACCAGAATCTCAGGGACACATTTAAAGAAGTGTGTAGAAGGAAATTTATAGCACAAACTGCCCACAAGAGAAAGCAGGAAAGATCTAAAATTGACACCCTAACATCACAATTAAACGAACCAGAGAAGCAAGAGCAAATACATTCAAAGCTAGCAGAAGGCAAGAAATAACTAAGATCAGAGCAGAACTGAAGGAGATAGAGACAAAAATCCCTTCCAAAAAAATCAATGAATCCAGGAGCTGCTTTTTTGGAAAAGATCAAGAAAATTGATAGACCACTAGCAAGACTAATAAAGAAGAAAAGAGAGAAGAATCAAATAGACACAATAAAAAATGATAGAGGGGATATGACCACCAATCCCACAGAAATACAAACTACCATCAGATAATACTATAAACACCTCTACACAAATAAACTAGAAAATCCAGAAGAAATGGATAAATTCCTGGACACATCCACCATCCCAAGACTAAACCAGGAAGAAGTTGAATCTCTGAATAGACCAAAAACAGGCTCTGAAATTGAAGCAATAATCAATAGCCTACCCACCAAAAACAGTCCAGGACCAGATGGATTCACAGCCGAGTTCTACCAGAGGTACAAGGAGGAGCTGGTACCATTCCTTCTGAAACTATTCCAATCAATAGAAAAAGAGGGTATCCTCCCTAACTCATTTTATGAGGCCAGCATCATCCTGATACCAAAGCCTGGCAGAGACACAACAAAAAAAGAATTTTAGACCAATAGCCCTGATGAACATCGATGCAAAAATACTCAATAAAATAATGGCAAAACGAATCCAGCAGCACATCAAAAAGCTTATCCACCATGATCAAGTGGACTTCATCCCTGGGATGCAAGGCTGGTTTAACACACGCAAATCAATAAACGTAATCCAGCATATAAACAGAACCAAAGAAAAAAACCACATGATTATCTCAATAGATGCAGAAAAGGTCTTTGACAAAATTCAACAACTCTTCATGCTAAAAACTCTCAATAAATTCGGTATTGATGGGATGTATCTCAAAATAATAAGAGTTATTTATGACAAACCCACAGCCAATATCATACCAAATGGGCAAAAACTGGAAGCATTCCCTTTGAAAACGGGCACAAGACAGGGATGCTCTCTCTCACCACTCCTGTTCAGCATAGTGGTGGAAGTTCTGGCCAGGGCAATCAGGCAGGAGAAAGAAATAAAGGGTATTCAATTAGGAAAAGAGGAAGTCAAATTGCCTCTGTTTGCAGATGACATGATTGTATATCTAGAAAACCCCATCATCTCAGCCCAAAATCTCCTTGAGCTGATAAGCAACTTCAGCAAAGTCTCAGGATACAAAATCAATGTGCAAAAATCACAAGCATTCTTATACACCAATAACAGACAAACAGAGAGCCAAATCATGAGTGAACTCCCATTCACAATTGCTTCAAAGAGAATAAAATACCTAGGAATCCAACTTACAAGGGATGTGAAGGAACTCTTCAAGGAAAACTACAAACCACTGCTCGATAAAATAAAAGAGGACACAAACAAATGGAAGAACATTTCATGCTCATGGATAGGAAGAATCAATATTGTGAAAATGGCCATAATGCCCAAAGTAATTTATATATTCAATGCTATCCCCTTCAAGCTACCAATGACTTTCTTCAGAGAATTGGAAAAACCTACTTTAAAGTTCATATGGAACCAAAAAGAGCCCGCATTGCCAAGGCAATCCTAAGCCAAAAGAACAAAGCTGGAGGCATCATGCTACCTGACTTCAAACTATACTACAAGGCTACAGTAACCAAAACAGCATGGTACTGGTACCAAAACAGAGATATATACCAATGGAACAGAACAGAGCCCTCAGAAATAATACCACACATCTACAACCATCTGATCTTTGACAAACCTGACAAAAACAAGAAATGGGGAAAGGATACCCTATTTAATAAATGATGCTGGGAAAACTGGCTAGCCATATGTAGAAAGCTGAAACTGGATCCCTTCCTTACACCTTATACAAAAATTAATTCAAGATGGATTAAAGACTTAAATGTTAGATCTAAAACCCTCAAAATCCTAGAAGAAAACCTAGGCAATACCATTCAGGACATAGGCGTGGCAAGGACTTCATGTCTAAAACACCAAAAGCAGTGGCAACAAAAGCCAAAATTGACAAATGGGATCTAATTAAACTAAAGAGCTCCTGCACAGCAAAAGAAACTACCATCAGAGTGAACAGGAAACCTACAGAATGGGAGAAAATTTTTGCAATCTACTCATCTGACAAAGGGCTAATATCCAGAATCTACAAAGAACTCAAACACATTTACAAGAAAAAACCAACCCCATCACAAAGCGGGTGAAGGATATGAACAGACACTTCCCAAAAGAAGACATTTATGCAGCCAACAGACACATGAAAAAATGCTCATCATCAATGGCCATCAGAGAAATCCAAATCAAAACCACAATGAGATACCATCTCACACCAGTTAGAATGGTGATCATTAAAAAGTCAGGAAACAACAGGTGCTGGAGAGGATGTGGAGAAATAGGAACACTTTTACACTGTTGGTGGAACAGTAAAATAGTTCAACCATTGTGGAAGACAGTGTGGCAATTCCTCAAGGATCTAGAACTAGAAATACCATTTGACCCAGCCATCCCATTACTGGGTATATACCCAAAGGATTACAAATCATGCTGCTGTAAAGACACATGCACATGTATGTTTATTGCAGCACTATTCACAATAGCAAAGACTTGGAACCAATCCAGATGTCCATCAATGATAGACTGGATTAAGAAAATATGGCACATATACACCGTGGAATACTATGCAGCCATAAAAATGGATGAGTTCATGTCCTTTGTAGGGACATGGATGAAGCTGGAAACCATCATTCTCAGCAAACTATCGCAAGGACAAAAAACCAAACACCGCATATTCTCACTCATAGGTGGGAATTGAACAATGAGAACACATGGACACAGGAAGAGGAACATCACACACCAGGGCCTGTTGTGGGGTGGGGGGAGGGGGAGGGATAGCATTAGGAGATAAACCTAATGTAAATGTCGAGTTAATGGGTGCAGCACACCAACATGGCACATGTATACATATGTAACAAACCTGCACGTTGTGCACATGTACCCTAGAACTTAAAGTACAATTAAAAAAAGAAAAGAAAAAAGTATCTACTTATATTTTATCATAACATATACAATAATAGTATAATAGTATATAGTAGTATATATTATATATTAATATAATATATATAGTATATAGTATGATATATTATATAATATATACTTACGTATTATATACAATTATATATTATTTTATATTATATAAAATAATTATGTTATAGTATATATTTATAATTTACGTATTACACACCATTATATATTTAATATATAATATACTTATGTATATTATATAATATCTTATTAATATATAATATGTGATATTAATATATGATATATAATAGTATATATTAGTATTATATTACTATCTATATTATTTTTACTTCCCAAGCCCTACTTCTATGTATAGACCTTTTGGTCTGTGGCTTTATTTTCTACTTACTGTGGTCTCATGAATTTCAAATTCTAACATTGTTTTCTGTCTCTCTCTCAATCATTTGTTATATTATTAGTAGCATAAAATATTTATACCATATAATATTATACTACATACTAATATATATGCTATTATATTATATATCAATGCAATATCCATAATATAAATGTTATAATATGATATCTATAAATAATATACTATATGTTATAGATATATTATTATATTATAATACTCATAATATTAATGATATATATGAAATATATAATATAATATCATTATTGTATCATTATTAATGACATACTAAAATATAACTTTTAATATACAATGATATATAATACTAATTAGATATTGTAATAATAGTATATAATATTATCATATTAGAAATAATTATGTAATTATAAACAGATAAATATATATAATATAATAATATACATTATATTTTATTTAATAAATATAAAAAATAATTAGATAGTATAGTATACTACTATACTATACTATATATTATTATATTATATTGTAATATAATATAAATGCAGCTCATTGTAGGCAACAACCAAAATAACACTGAACATATAGATATTTGTTTCAACTTCTTGTTCAGTACTTTACATAAGTTGCAAATAGGAATGGTACTCTGATGTGTTCCACACCACTACTAAGAATTATAAGCAAATCATACCATAATAAAAAATACCTTTATGAAATATATAAAATATGTAATCATTTCACATTAAATCTAAGAAGTCTATCTATCTTTCATAGTTTTGTGAAATATATTCTTATATATCTCACAAAGTCTGAAACTATGATCTGGGAAGAAAATAAAATTGTATTTATATAAAGAGCTACAGCTCCTAAAATAGTCTAAATTTGTAGAGCTACATCCTTACTATGTATTTCAAATATATTTACATTAAAAATGATACTCATTTTACTTTAAGGAATAACTTATGTTCCATTCACTCTGGAACTTAAAGCAGGAAATTATGAAGAAATTACTCTAGTGGGGTGGATACTTTCATTTTAGAGTAGTTACATGCTCTAAAATAGAAGTTTCTGTGGTTATTTACTCCTTGGACCAAGTTATGTGTGCATAGGAAGCTATTCCCTAATTTGAACCTGTCATAGGCCAAGGTGACAGTTCACTAATGATAATCTCTTGTTATTTAAAATTCACCTAATTTATTTTAGTGCCCATACCTTCCAAGTTCTCCATTTCTTAAAATTAAATCAATTTTCTCTCTTCTACCCTGATCATTCCAATCCACCAAAATGATTCTTCATGGAGGTGGTGAAGTAAGAGAGTTTTTCATGTTAACAGAATTTCATTTTTTCCTTTTCATAGAATTTTTCAGACTGAATCTTCTAAGAATTCTGGCTTCTTTTACAAAATGAGAAATGTTTGAATTATGGCAAGTTAATGACAATTAAGTTTAAAGTTACCTTTGTCTGAAAACCTTTGTTTTAAAGCATTTCAAGATCTCAGATTTACAGAATTCAAGTGACAATTTTAAGCACTGGGTCAAGGTATGAACCCATTTATGCCTAGTGTTACGTTATTGGAACACTAAGCTTGTGGGAGTTATTTATATACTACGGCTCAAGGTTATCGTTAAGCTCATTTTTTTTATTGTTTATCCAGATGGCATAGAGATACAGTGGATAGATAGATAGTTTATAGAGATGAACATATATGAATATTCAGACACTAATCAATTCATATTCATATATACATTCCATTATCTTGGCTTCAATATAAATATATATGTTTTTATATATTATGATAATCCACAAAAAATAAATTTTCCACTAATAAGAATATTTAAAGTCTATTGCAATAATGCTTTACAAAAAGGTCATAAAAGTTTTGAGGCAATAATAATGTGTTGAGATTGATGCACAAATTTCGAAAGGGAAAGCTTTTAAGTATGACAGCACTCATAATTTCTGCTATGTTTATAAAATTGATTTCATTCAAGACTTGATGATAGACATTTTAAGGACCCAGGGGTGCCTTCTGAAAGCTGTAATTCAACAGTGCCAGGCTAAAAGTACTCAACTGACTTGTCAAATACAACTTGCCCTGCTGTAATTGCTATCATTATGACATAAATCAGTATGACCAAAAACAATTTACATTAGTTGGTTACATTTGGAAAGGACACAGGAATTATGGATAACAGCAGTAACTGTGAATATCCCTATAAAAACTTACATTATGGCTTCTTCCCCTATCCAATAAAATGGAAATGACTGGCTTTTGCATTTCAACTGTTATACAAAAGCAATTCCTGGCTGTTAGCAACCAGCTGGTAATGGCATTTTTCTATTTTGTGACATAATATAGTTTAATTTTAGAATAATAATTATGTTTTATGTCACTTTTCACCATTAGTTTTTCCCTCTGGCCCTCTTCAATCCAGGTAATTCTTATGTAAAAATCTACTTAAAATAATGGCTTACTATGTAAAACATAAATGTAATATTATTTACATGCTATAGAATATTAATCATTATTAATAATTATTAATTAACTATATTAATTGTTAATACAAAGTAACCTCATATTAGAAAAAAAATTGCCTTTTTTGAATTGATTTTGTTCTATGTAAATTTTACAATAATTATATTATTCCAAACACAGAAAGCTTTAGATGTCTTTGATATATTATGTCTTCCTTCATTTAATATTTGGGTTCAAATTCCAGGTCTGTCCTAGAACACAGGACCTAGCAATAGAGTTCACTGTTTTTGCCTCTACATATAACTTAAAATATCTGAGTCAGCTAGATAAAAATAATAATTTATTTTTAAAGTTTTATTTTATTTTTGATTTATACATAATAATTGTACATATTTATGGGTTACATTGTGATGTTTTGATATATGTATACATTTTGTAATGATTAATCAGGGTATTTAGCTTATCTATCATCTCCAACATTTATTATTCTTTGTGATGAAAACATTCAAAAATACTTTCTTCTAGTTATTTTGAAATATACAATACAATATTATATATTTCAGAATGCCGAAAGTTATTTATCCTATCTAAATGTAACTTTGCACTTTTTGACCAATCTCTCTCCATCTTTCTCTTTCTAGACTCTAATAAACACTATTCTACTCTGAATTTCTGTGAAATCAACTATTTCAGATTGTGCAAATGAATGAGAACATGTCGCATTTGTCTTTCTACACCTGGCTTAGTTCATTTGACATAATGTCAGCCAGGTTCATCGGATTTTGGAAATCAAAGGATTTCTTTCTTTTTTAAGGCTAAATGGTATTCCACTGTGTAAAAATACCACATTTTCAAAAATTGATTTATCCATGATGAACTCTTAGGTTGATTTCATATCTTGGCTATTGTGAATACTACTGGAATAAACATGAGAATGTAGATATCGCTTCGACATACTGGTTTCATTTTCTTTGGATAAATAAAACTAGTAGTGGGATTGCCAGATTATATGCTAGTTTCATTTGTAATTTTTTGAGGTTCCTCCAGACTTTTTTTTTCATAAAGTTTCTACTAATGTAAATTTCTACCAACACTGTAGAAGGTTACCTATTTCTCCTCATCCACATCCATGCCTATTAAAAAGACAGTCAATAGCATGTATTGTTACTTTGGTAATAGCCATTCTGAAAAGTGTGAGGGGATATATCATTGTGATTTTGATTTGCTTTTCCCTGATGATTAGTAATGTTTTTTGTATACAAGCATACTTTGGAGGTATTGTGGATTCAGTTCTAGACAACTGCAATAAACCAAATATGGCAATAAAGGGAATCAACAATTTTTTTTGGTTTTCCAGTGAATATAAAACTTTTGTTTACACTATATTGCACTCTATTAACTGTATGATAGCATTATGTCTTTAAAACTGTACATGCCATAATTTAAAAATACTTATTTGCTAAAACATGCTAATGATCATTTGAACCTTCAGTTAGTCATAATCTTTTTGCTGGTGGAGGATCTTGCCTCTATGTTGATGGCTTCTGACTGATCAGGGTGATGATTTCTGAAGTTGAGGTGGCTGTGGCAGTTTCTTAAGATAATAATGAAGTTTGCCAAATTTATTGACTCTTTCTTTCACAAAAAAAATTCTTAGCATCTGATGCTGTTTGATGGCATTTTACTCACAGTAGAACTTCTTTCAAAATTGGAGTCAGTCTTCTCAAACCCCGCTGCTGCTTTATGAACTAAGACTATAGAATACTCTAAAACCTTTCTCATCATCTCAATAATGTTCACAGCATCTTCACCAAGAGTGGATTCCATCTCAAGATACATTTCTTTGCTTATCCATAAAAAGCAACTCTTCATTCATTCAATTTAGTTATGAGATTCCCATAATTCAGTCACATCTTTAGGCTTCACTTTTAGTTGTCTTGCTATTTGTATCACATCTACAGTAACTTCCTACACTGATATCTTGAACCCCTCAAAGTCATCCATGAGGGTTGGAATCAACTTCCAAAATCCTGCTAAAATCAATGTTTTAACTTCTTTCCATGAATCACCAGTGTTCTTAATGGTACCTAGAATGATAAATCCTTTCCAGAGTTTTTCAATTTACTTCATCCACATCCATCAGAAGAATTACTATCTGTGACAGTGATATCCTTAATGAAACATATTCAAAATTACTCCTTGATTCACAGGCTGCAGAATGGATCTTGAGTTAACATATATAAAAACAGCATTAATCTCCTTGCATATCTTCATAACTGGAGCGCTGGGGTGACCAGGTTCACTGTTAGTGAGCAGTAATATTTTGAAAGGTATTCTTTTTTTCTGAGCAGTGGGTCTTGACAATGAACTTAAAATATTCAGTAAACCATGCTGTAAACAAACATGCTGTCACACAGGCTTTGTTCCATTTTTAGCTAATAGGTAGAGTAGATTTAGTATAATTCTTAAGGGTCCTAGAATTTATGGAATGGCAAATCCACATTGGTTTTATCCTAAAGTCACCAGCTGCATTAGCCTATAACAAGAGAGTCAGCCTGTCATTTGAAGCTTTGAAACCAGGCATTGAATTCACCTTTCTAGCTGTGAAAGTCTTAGATGGCATCTTTTTCAATATAAAGCTCTTTCATCTACATTGAATCTTTTGTTTAGTGGACCTACCTTCATTAAATATCTTAGGTAGAGCTTCTGGATAACTTGCTACAGATTTTATATCTGCACTTGCTGCTTCATCTTTCGTTTTTATGTTATAAAGACAGCTTCTTTCCTTAAACCTCATGAACCAACTTCTGTTGGTTTCAGACTTTTCTTCTGTAGCTTCCTCACTTTGCTCAGCCTTCAGAGAATTGAAGACAGTTAGGATCTTGCTCTGAATTAGGCTTTGACTTATGGAAATGTTGTAGCTGGTTTGATCTCCTACCCAAACCACTCAGACTTTCTCCATGTCATCAATAAGGCTGTTTTACTTTCTTATCATTCACGTGTTCACTGAAGTAGCATTTTTGTTTTCCATCAAGAACTTTTCTTTGGCATTCACAGCTTGCCTAGCTGACACAAGATGCCTAGTATTTGGCCTTTTTCCATTTTCAACAAGCCTTCCTCACTAAGCTTTATCATTCCTTGATTTTGATGTAAAGTGAAAACCGTGTGACTCTTCTTTTCACTCTTGAACACTTAGAGGACATTGCAGGGTTATTAATTTGCCTAATTTCAATATTGTTGTGTCTCAGAGAATAGGGAGGCCCAAGGAGAGATAGAGAGACAAAGAAGCACTCAATCAGTGGAGTAGTCAAAACACACAAAATATTTATTGAATAATTTTGTCATCCAATATGTATATGGTTAGTGGCACCCCAATACAATTACAACATTAACATTGAAGATCACTGATCACTATAACAGATAAAGCAATAATTTTTTAAAGTTTTAAATATTGTGAGAATTATCAAAATGTGACATAGAGATACAAAGTGAGTGCACCCTCTTGGAAAAAATGGTGTCCAAAGACTTGCTTATTGCAGAGCTAACAAGAAAATTCAATTAGTAAAAAATGCAATATCTGTGAAATGCAGTTAAACAAGGTGGGCCTCTACCTATTGGCCATTTGTATATCTTCTCTTGAGTAATGTATTTAGATCTTTTGTCCACTTTTTATCAGATAATGATGATGATGATTATTATTATTATTTTATTATTGAGTTGTTTGAGTTCCTTATATATTCTGGATTTTAACCCTCCATCAGATGCATGGTTTGAAAATATTTTTTCCATTCTGTGTGTTGCTCCACTTTGTTGATTATTTCCTCTGTCATGCAGAAGCTTTTTGGTTTGATTCCCTTTGTCTATTTTTGCTTCTGTTACCTGTGCTTTTGAGTTCTTACCCAAAAATTTCTTGCCTAGAACAACGTTATGAAGCATTTCCCCTAAATTTTCTTCTAATACTTTTATTGTTTCAGGTCTCACATTTAAGTTTAATCCATTTTGAATTGATTTTTGCATAAGGTGAGAGGTGAGCATCTAGTTTCATTTTCTGCATGTGGATTACCAGTTTTCTTTCCCAGCACCATTTATTGGAGAGACTTTTTCCTTAGTGTATGTTCTTGGTGCCTTTGTTAAAAATCAGTTGGTTTTAAATGTGTGGATTTATCTCAGTTTTCTCTATTCTGTTCCATTGGTATGTGTGATTGTTTTTATGCCAGTGCTATGCTGTTTGGTTACTATAGCTTTATAGTGTATTTTGAAGTCAGGTAGTGTGCAACTTCCAGCTTTGTTCATTTTGCTCATGGTTTCTGTGTATAAAAACACAAGCTCAGGAAATGCACTGATGTTGGTATTGTCCCTATAAAGATCATACAGTTAGTCAAAGTTCTTTTCAAAGCATTATGAAAAACCAAGCTGCTTTTTTTTGTATTTTTTTTCTATCCAGATGATATTTGTAGTTTTTCTTTTAATTTTTTTTTAAGTTCCAGGGTAAATGTGCAAGATGTGCAGGTTTGTTACGTAGGTAAACATGTGCCATAGTAGTTTGCTGCACCTATCAACTTTTTACTTATTTTTCTTCTACTGCTAATTTTGAGCTCAGTTAGTTGGATTTTTTCTTGCTAATTCCTTAAGATACAATATTAGGTGGTCTATTTGAGATCTTTCTAATTTTTATTTATTGCTATAAACTCCCCTTTTTGAAGTGCTTTTGCTGTATCCCATAGGTTTTAGTATGTTGTGTTTCCATTTTTATCTATCTCAAAAAATTTTTAATTCCTTTTCTAATTTATTTATTTCCCCATGTCATGCAGAAGTATGTTGTTTTGTTTCTATAAATTTTATAATTTCTAAAGTTCTTCCTTTTATTGGTTTCTAGTTTTATTCCAATATGGTCAGAGGAGGTATTTGATATAATCTTGATTTTACACTTGTGTAGATTTTCACCTTCCCTCTTTCAAGAGAGCATAAACTCTGGACTAGTGCCTGACTGTTTCCACTCATTGTCTGGGAACTTTAGGTGGTTGTTTTCACTGTATGTCCAAGCTTTATTGTGTGTGAGATGGGGAATGATGGGAAATCGTCCTGTAGTATCTTAGTCTTTTACACACAGAAGTTTGAGGAAGGCCAGGAAGTTGTAAATGAATTCTTAGATATTTTACTGGCAAGAAGCCTACTTTAGAACAATATATTTCTTATTTCTCTCCTTGTAATACCTAACCATCATTGTCCATAATCAGTAAATATTTGCTGATAAATTCAATTGGATCAATAGATTTTAGAAAGGCAAAAGAGAGAAAAAAGGGTAATTAAACACTTTATGCCCCAATGTAATGTGTGGATAGTCAAAATTTATCTGTATTGTTAATGTATCCTCTATCTCACTTTTTCTATGAAAACACATTGTAAGATATATTTCAGCAAGTCACTGATACCTTCGAGGGAAGTGAGCAGACTCCAGAAAGTTTAAGAGAAATAAATAAAGTTTGAGAGAAAAGTAGAATAAAATGTGGGGTGAAATATGCTGTTCTGTAATTTATCACCTCTGATCATGGACTATCTCATAATCATAAGTGTAAAGGCAGGTTTTGAATTTTTCTCGAGTCAGGCTAGCCTCTTTCATTGAGATTTTTAATAACTGTTCAGCACCTGCCTGCTGCATGATATTTTTCAATGCAGGATCCCATTGGATGAAGGAAATGATATAACTATGCAGTGTCCTGGTCCTTTGGCAGTTGTTCCACGGCAGCTCTGCTGTGTGAGAGACTACAGAGACGTCTGATACTCTAACCACAAAGCTTGCACATTTAACTCTAGGAAAGTTTAGGGCCTCTGCTCTTAAACCATAAAGAATACTAAAAACAAAAGAAGCAATCCATCTTTAATCAATAAACTTAACTTCTAAGAATCCCTGTCATATTAGAAAGATTATAAAATGAACAGAAACTTTAAAATATTGAAACCATCATTCTCAGCAAACTATTGCAAGGACAAAAAACCAAACACTGCATGTTCTCACTCATAGGTGGGAATTGAACAATGAGAACACACGGACACAGGAAGGGGAACATCACATACAGGGGCCTGTTGTGGGATGGGGGGAGTGGGGAGAGATAGCATTAGGAGATATACCTAATGTTAAATGACGAGTTAATGGGTGCAGCACACCAACATGGCACATGTATACATATGTAACAAACCTGCACGTTGTGCACATGTACCCTAAAACTTAAAATATAATTAAAAAAAAATTAAAAAAAGAAAAACTATTGAATGCTTTTAAACAGTTCGGTTTTGTACTAGACTGCTACTGTTCAATTAAGTTCTGCAAGCTTTTTGTATCTTATAGTAAATAAACAGTAATGTTTTGCATACACTAGATAGTATTATAATTAAAAACATATGTTTAGTTTTTTCAGGGCCATGTTGAGAAAACACATTCCACATAGATCATTTTCTAATTCCATCTCAAATTTTCACACTAAGCAAATAAGGAAGGTATAAAACACCTTTCAAAACACATTTTCTCACAATCAGAAATAAAAATATTTATATTTTTTCTGCGGACAATAAGTTTAACTCCAACTTCAATTGAATCAGTTTTTGAAAGCTTTTGTTCATGAAATACGCACTCTAAAACTTGAAGATAAATCTTTGGACATATTTTAAGTTATCTAAATACAGATATTAAGTGGGCATTTGCAGTTGTTTCTTTCTGAATATATTTGGCATACTTAATGATAGTCAATAATAACCAGCTACAAAGGAAGTATATTCATCATTAACAGTTAAGTCTACAGTCACGGAAAAAAAAATAAATAATATATATATTTTTTGAGACAGTGTCTTGCTCTGTCACCCAGGATGGAGTGCAGTGGTGTGATCTCGGCTCACTGCAACCTTCACCTCCGGGTTCAAGCAATCCTCCTACCTCAGCCTCCCTGGTCTCTGGGATTACAGGCATGCACCACCACAGCCAGTGAAGTTTTGTATTTTTAGTAGAGATGAGGTTTTGCCATGTTGACCAGGCTGGTTCTAAACTCCTGACCTCAAGCAATGCACCCTCCTCGGCCTCCCAAAGTGCTGAGATTATGGACGTGATAAAATAAATAAGATTTTAATTCAAACAGTATAGATACCAAAGCCTGTGTAATTTCTTTAAGTTCTTATTTATAATATGCTAATTTGAGCTTAAGATCCTTCACTAAAATAGATTTCATAATAAAATACAATTTTATTTGTACAAATATTAACTTTATACATGTGAATATCAATAGGCTACTAAATATGAATTTCTACTGTATATGCTTAATGAGTTTTTTGATTCTTTACAATAAAAATCCAATATTACCATGAAGCTTATTATGCAATAATTTATGAGTGATATAAATATGTAAATTAAAAATTAATTATTAGAATTGGAATATTAAGTACTATATTTTTAAAAATATTTTTAGATTTCAAGTTAGCTAAAATATTAAAATCATATGGGTGAGCTCTAAAATAACAGAAATTAATTATTAAACTCCAAAATCATAAAGTGAAAAAAAGGAATAAAAATATTTCCTTCAAAAAAGAAAACAAATACATTTAGGGAAAGGAAGACAAAGTAAAACCACATGTGAAAGAAAATGAAATGTGTAATATTATAGTGATTACATTTAATACAAATAACAAATTTCTAGATAAATACAAAGATTCTCAAATTGGTTTTTAAAAATTAATTCAGCTATATGTATTTGTAAGAGACACACCTCAAACATAAATGTACTGAAAGGTTGAAAATAAAACAATATAAAAATATTTTAACAAAAGAAAACTGGGATTGCTATGTTTGTATCAGACAGAACAGACTTCATATCAAAAAGCATTATGTGATATTGAATGTCATTCTACATTGAGAAATGTTTTGATTCGATAAAGGAATGTAATAAATGTAAGCAGGTTTCTTTAGTAAGAGCCTAAAATGATAAAAGGAATTTTATAAAATTACAAGTAAATAAACTAATCCAGCATGTCAGTAAGGTTTCTCAGATACCTTTATAAATAAGTAATAGAACAATCAAAAAATTTAATAAGAATATAAAGAATGGTAAGAATACTATTAACAAGATTGTCCTATGTAATTAGAAAATAGTCATTCATTCTGTTCAAGTATAAATGAAATGTTTACAGAAACTATATGGAACAAGTCAAAATGTTCAGTGAGTCCTATGGTAATATATTTTATCCTCAGGATTACCAATCCAACTCATTTACCAAGCGCTTCAGAAGGCTAAGAGTTTTGAATGGGGACCTGATGAAGATAGGGCTTTGTATCAGATGTAAGCTGAAGAATAAGATGCCCTGTTCCTCTCTTTGTAATCTCCCATATGTTTAATGGTGCTAGAAATAGATGTGGCAAATAAGAACTCTGTGTGAAGCCTCTGGCAAGCCCCAGAAGGAAAATCAAAGGATCGCAGAGCAAGTCATGCCTTCTACAGCAGAAAATTACTTGCCATTTGAAAAACTATTCATGGTTCGTTCCTGAGCCCTGGAGTGACTCCCCAGCAGACATCAATTGACAATGCAACCAAAAATGTCCATCATATCCTATGTATTGCTATATCCAACAAATTCTAAAATAGTCACAGCAGTAATCTATCACCTGATAAAAAATGGTACATTTGAAATTGTGGCTAAGTAGGTGTAGAGGACACAAGTAAATTATCTGAACAAGTAGTTTAGAATCTCTTATCCTCCATCTTTGTTTCTTATATCTATTACATGGTTTGGCTCTGTGTTGCCACCCACATCTCAAATTGTAATCCCCATGTGTCAAGGGAGGAACCTGATGGGAGGTGATTAGATCATGGAGGTGGTTTCCCACATATTGTTTTTATGATAGTAAGTGAGTTTTTTATGAGATCTGAGGGTTTAAAAATGTGTGGCAATTCCCCTCCTTTTTTTTGCTCTCTCCTGCCACCTTGTAAAGAAGGTGCTTGCTTCTCCGCCTTCCACCATGATAGTAAGTTTCCTGAGGCCTCTCCAGTCATGCAGAACTGTGAGTCAACTAAACCTCATTTCTTTATAAATTACCCAGTCTCAGGTAGTTCTTTATAGCAGTGTGAAAACAAATGAATACAATTTCTGTTTAATATACTTTTAGTATAATACAGTCCTAATGATGTAAATGTTTTGGAATGTATCGAAATTTGTTTTGTAACCTCTACAAAGTCAACTGTAATAATGCTGTGTGTACATATATTAAAATTCTTATTTTTTATATTTGCTAAATAACTTTAATGTTCCCAACTTCAGTATTGTTACTATATTATTTTTCTATTTATTCAATCATTCACCAAGCTAAGTGAGTTAGAAAATTTCCACTCTGTTGTGTCTGATGAATTTCTCTTTGTAGTTTGATTTCCCATTTTAACCAGCATTAACATATGTGCTACAGCTGTCTTATGGTTAAGGTTTGAATAGTACAGGTTTTATATCTTTTCACGTTAACATATTTGTGTCTTTGAATTCATAAATGCATCTCTAGAAAACCAATACTTATTTTTTTATCCAGTCTTGTTATCCTTGCCTTATAATTTGAGTTTCAACAGAGTAAACAGACAACCCACAGAATGGGAGAAAATTTTTGCAAACTATGCATCTGAAAAAAGTCGGCATATATAAGGAACCTAAACAAACTTATAAGAAACAAAACAAACAACCCCATTAAAAAGTGGGCAAAGGGCATGAACAGACACTTCTGAAAAGAAAACATACATGTGGCCAACAATCATATGAAACAAAGCTCAACATCACAGATCACTAGAGAAATGCAAATCAAAGCCACAGTGAGATACCATCTCACACCAGTCAGAATAACTATTATTAAAAAGTCAAAAAATAACAGATGCTGATAAGGTTGTGGAGAAAAGGGAATGCTTATACACTGTTGGTGAGAGTGTCAATTAGTTCAACCATTGTAGAAGACAGTGTGATAGTAGTACTCAAAGACCTAAAAACAGAACTACCACTCAATTCATCAATCCCATTACTGGGTATGTACCCAAAGGAACATAAAATGTTCTGTCATAAGCACATATGCACATGTATGTTCATTGCAGTACTATTCACAATAACAAAGACATGGAATCAACCTAAATGTCCATCAATGGTAGACTGGATAAAGAAAATTTAATGCATATACACCATAGAATACTGTGTAGCCATAAAAAGAATGATATCATGTCCTTTGCAGGAACACGGATTGAGCTGGGGGCCGTTATCCTTAGCAAACTAGCAAAGGAACAGAAAGCCAAATACCACGTGTTCTCACTTATAAATGGGAGCTAAATTATGAGAAAACATGGATACATAGAGGGGAACAACACACACTGGGGCCTACAAGAGGGTGGGAGGAGGGAGAGGATCATGAAAAATAACTAATGGGTACTATGCTTAATACCTGGGTGATGAAATAATCTGTACCAGAAACCCCACATCGCAAGTTTACCTATATAACAAACCTGCACATGTACCTCTGAACTTAAAAATAAAAGTTAATAAAATAAATAATTATTAAAAAATAAAATATCTATGCCACAAAATAAAATTTAAAAAATATTATAACTTGGGTTTCGTCTGAAAGCTGGATGGTTCTAAGGCCGGTCCTAGAAGAATGGATTCCAGGACATTTGTTTCTACAGTCACTTTTTAATCAAGTCTCATACGGCTGTGTCTGATGGATACAACCTAGTTCATACAAACGTGTGCCCCAACTGCTAGTAAAGAAGGGAAAGTGTTTCTGGCATCCATTTTGGGAAATCACCGACAAGTGGCTCGAGAAATCCCCCCCAAAAAGATGAGTTTTCAAAGGTACCAGGGAAGCCAAAAGCCTGGCACACTTCCATGAGATAGTAATCAGCATATGAGTGGAAACTGAAGCTGGGGATTTAGGTGCCACTACCCAGGAAAAGTGGCTAGTATAACTATTTTAACTATTTCCTTTACTTATTAATTGTAATTTAATTTGTTCCTCCTGTTTTTTTTTTTATTTTTTATTTTTTTAGATGCAGTCTCACTCTGTTGCCAGACTGGAGTGCAGTGGTGCGATCTTGGCTCACTGCAATCTCCACCTCCTGGGTTCAAGTGATTCTCCTGCTTCAGCCTCCTGAGTAGCTGGGATTACAGGCATGCACCACCACACTCAGCTAATTTTTTTTTTGTTTCTGTATTTTTAGTAGAGACAGGGTTTCACAATGTTGGCCTGGATGGTCTCAATCTCCTGACCTCGTGATCCACTCGCCTCGGCCTCCCTAAGTGCTGGGAATACAGGCATGAGCCGCTGCCCCCGGCCTTCTTTTGTTATTTTTAAAAGAGATTTTGTATGTTATTTCTCAGGGTAAAGCAGAATATATAGCAATGTGTGGAGAAGACGTATATGTAAAGAGAGATTGTTTATAGAGTTGTAGCCCATGCAAAAACTAAGGCAAACATATATTTTACTTAGAATACTTTGGAAGTCTCTATGTTCATTACAGCATTTCTACAAGAGGAGATAGAGTAAGACTATTTCTGGAAACACTGGGAACTAGAATAGGAATTGCAGTTATTACACTGTAGATTTCAGGAAAAGTTTCTCCTCACCTATTTGTTATTCCCTTTCTCAAAAATATTCCACATGTTTATAAAGTAGGGAATGGGATTTTACAAGCAGCAGGGAAGGAATTCTAAACAATGAAACTCAAAAAAGGGAGAGAAAAAAGCAGCAACAATAAAATTGGCTTACCATTTTGTCATTAGTTGAAGTAGTAATGTCTCAGATATGCCTATTAAGAGTTGGGGAAATAGTTAAACTTTTTGAAGCCTTCATTATTTTATTAATCTTGAAGATAAAATTGCAGTGAGAAGTTGGCATATTTACTTCTAATATGGAAAATATTCAAGGTATCTGAATAAAAAGGGGTTCCCCACCTCTGCAAGGCTCTCTCCTACAGAGTCCTGTATACACGTTTTTTCTTCAAGAAAAAAGAGATATATGCACACACGTATACAACGTAAGCATATACAATATGAGAGAAGTTTAAAATTCCCTAAATTTTTTGTGGTTCTCCTTTAATCTTTCATAGAAACTTCTGTAAATAAAGCAATTAAAAGGAAAATAAAAGTAAATTCCTGACTTGCAGAATTTATTTGGTTAATTTTAGTGATTTTTTTTTTGTTTTATTTCATTTTGTTTGTGTTGGTCCAGTTATTTCAAAGACCTCTGAGTTTCTTTATCACAAGGATTTTCTTCCAATAAAAAACCTTCTGATGGGCATGGTGTATTACCTCTTTGGATCTTTGTACCTATCCATCTATACTGTTAGGAATATCCCTGACCCTTAATCCCACCTATAAATATAACATCTTTCTTATATTAATTCCTATATATAGGAAATTTATGGTGAATTTAGGTCCAAACATTGGCAGACAGAGAAAGTGGATACTCATAGTTAATTACAATGGGGAACAGAAAGTAAATGAGGAAAGCAGCACAGACTTTTTCATTTATATCTACTCATGTCTCTTAGGAAACAGAGTGGGGTCCTTGTTTTCTTGACCTCTTCACTACTGATAAAATGTTCTTCCATTTATGTCCACAGATTACCAAAGATTATACAACTTTGCCTAGCAAACTTATGTATTTCCTTAGTATTGAAGCAGGAAATTTTCCCTGACTCCTTCGTGGGTGGGAATTGGAGCACACAGGTGCCAGCAGGGGCAAACTCCACTCATTTGACCTGCTGCGCTCAACCCCTCGTGGAAGGAAGCATATAGGTGAGCAGGTATGGAAGCCAGGGTGATGGCAGTAACAAATTCCACACTAGCCCCACAACAGTATCTAGGGGGGTGGCCGCAACCCCTAAAGCCCCAGAAGGAGTATTACAGTCAGTGCTTTTTTAGCTTTGTCATCTGTGTATGGCTTAAGTGTTAACAGCACAGTGGAGGGTCAGTGTGACAGCCTTTTGCACCTACATTCAAGTTCTTGTCCAGTGTCCAAGAGGAACAAGTTTGCATGAACAAATTGGATATGGCAAATGTGGGGGACTTTATTGCTGATGAAAATGGCTCTCAGAGGGAAAGGGAGCTGAAAAGGGGAAGAGCTGGAAGGTAGAGCTACACCGTCATGCCATCCCTCTGAAGTCAAGTTGCTTCTCTTTGACATCCAACTGTAGTCTCCAACATCCAGCTGCTTCTCCTCTTCTCCTCTTTCTGCCAGTGGAGCCTGGAGTTTTTATGGGCACAAGATGTGCAGCAGGGTGGGCCATGGGTGGTTTTGGAAAAGGCAACATTTGATCAGGAAAACAGGAATGCATGTTCTCACTTTTGGCCATAGCTCCAGGATTGATGGTGGGGCCCTTGATGGGGACCCGCCTTCTTCTGCCCAGAATTTCCCTGCCTCCTGTCCCTATCAATATGTTTAATTTTCCACTGTCCAAAATGATTATTTCACACTTTCTCTTCTGTGGACAATTCTACCTCTCAAACCCTCCTAGCTAGCAAATGGCTTTACCTCTTACTTTATTAAAAAAAAAGAGACACTGCTACTAGTAAGCACACATCTAGCAGCTCATATGCATCTCTGCATCTGTAACAGCTGTGCTTCTGTGCTATCTTGATGAGTGCAGGGCCTTTGCTCCTCTCAAAGGCCCACACGTCCTCTCTAATTAGAATCCCATTTTTTCTCACAGTATCTCTCCTTCAATTATCTCCCTTATATCCTGCAACACTAATTTCTGTCTCTAGTGAATCATTCTGAATGGCAGCATATGAACTTACTAGCTCCTACCTTAGAAAAAAAAATTGTTTAAATGTTCTTCCATATCACATTTAGCTACCATTTTGATTTTTCAAAATGATTTTTTATTATGATGAATACAGGTAATTGAAATACCTTCTTCTGCAAGATTTAAGGGCATCTCTGCTGGTTTTCATTGACCAACTTTGCCTCCTTTGTCACATCCTCCTCTGCTCTATGTGATATTGTTGGGGTGTGTCCAGACTTGTCCTGGGCTTCTTTTTCTTCAAACATGTTGTTGCTTCTAAGGGAGCCTATCTAATTCTCTTATTTTAAATGTTGGCCATGTGTCAATGAGCCCCAAATTATTCTCTGCAGTAATATCATATATATACCCACTATAATGTATCATTAGTAATTCTATATTATTGACACTTTAGCTGATGCTTCATGTGGATATATGCAAGCCAGATGGCTCCACCCATGCTTGTTCTGGAAAATGGAATGAAGAGGACGTGAGATCACTCTAGAGGGTAGAGCATGCCACTCCCATTAAAACTCTCAAATACACTTTCATCAATGTGTTATAATTTTTATAAAACTTCTCACTCGATACTTTTATTGAAGATCTAAGATATTTCTAACTTAACATGGCCAAATAAGAACTCTCTCCATCATCAACAAGCAGTATTCCTTCCTGCTCAATAAATACTATCACTTACATGCAGTGTTTTTAGCCAAATATGTATCAGTTGTTCTTGATTTTTCCTTTTCCTTTTCCTTTACCTTATTTGCATGGTAAAGACACCTGGTTAATTGAACTAGACTGCAGAAGAGCTTTATAAGCAGTTTTGGGCCAAACTAGAGGCAGGCATTAGGCTTAGATTAAAATCAGACTGACTAATACTGTTGGCCTCTTTTCCAGGCCATTCCTCTAGTATAAATCTTTGCAATACTGCCATCATGATGTGAGGAAGTGTTAATAAATGAAGATTGCAAGGAATATTGCACTAAGTGGAGGAGAGTTCATTTCTTCCATTATAAGCTCATTCATTATAATATATGTATCATTGATAATTCAATATATTATTGCTACTTTCAGCTAATGCTTCATGTGAATGTATGTAAGCCAGATGGCTCTGCCCATGCTTGTTATGGAAAGTGGAATGAAGGGGGCCAGAGATCACTCTAGAGGGTAGAGCATGCCATTCCCATTACAATTCCCCAAATACACACATACACACACACACACACACAAGCACATGCCACATCTAATATTTTAAATTCATATTTTAATAGTATTTGCTGTTTCTAGGTTGTTTTTTTGTGTTGGGCAGAGTAGTGGGAGAGTACATGTTGTCTCCACAATATTGCAATAAACTAAATATTATAATATGTTGGCTTTGATTATTCTGTGTCCTAAAATGTGCTTATTTTCTATTCTTTTTTGTCCTTGTTTACATTTAAAATTATACAACTGTCAGTGTTGATTTATAAGATAGAATGTACATATAAACTGGATCTCTGTCTCAGAGTAAGGAGGTGGAAAGAAAACCAAGAAGTCTGAAAGTTGTATTTCTGCCTCTGTATAGCACCAAATACTTTAAAGAATGAAACTGTTTCCATGTCTTTGTTGTCTCATCTTTGCCTTAAGGCAAAGTGAAATAAAAAGGAAAGACATAAGTAAAATGTGTCAACATAAAGATTTGTATTAAGATTGCCATAGGAAAAGGCAACATTTGTTTTCCTATATGCCCTGACTCCAAGAAACCCAGAACTGTCCTAGTTCTTTAAAACCAGGTCAAATTTGGGGACATATTTCCATAGTAGAATGGAGAAGAGGGTGGAAGTCATGGGGACTTGCAGTGTCACACATAGGCATGTTTCATGTTCACCATCTTAGTAAAAATATGACAAAACCTTTGTATTTAACATTTGTTATGAACTTAGAAAATTCTTAAGTTCAGTGAATGAGGTAAAAAGAAAAAAAGAAATGCATTTATTTATTTAGAACCAACTGTGACTCAAAGCATATTTTGTGGTTTGGTATATTTTATGAATTATTTGTGTTACCACTTTAATACAGTTGTCTAACATTGTACATGCTATTTAACTTCTTTGAGCTATGAATTCCTCATTGGTATGTACCCTTATTAATAGTTTCTACCCTGTAGGGTTATTGTGAGATTTAAATGTGATAACGTACAAGGAAGGCTGTGGACTCTTAGACTTCAAATATTTCCTGATGTAAAATAGGAAATATTAGTCTTTCATCATACTGAAATAAAGCAATTTGTAGACTTTTTAGACTTCATGTATTTTAAATGAGAGCCATTCCAATTTCAATGTATTGTTTTTGTTTTCCTTATGTGATTTGTTCTTACATGCATTTCAATTTTCAAGTTTTTCAACCTCAGGAGATTAAAACTGTATGAAAAATTCTGTGAGACTAAAAGAGATAATGTCTTTTAGCTTATTTGCAGTAATCATCAATGAGCTATTTTGAGACCCAGTGTCATCTGTAAAAGCAAAAGTCAGAATACTCAAGAGTGGATGTATTTTTAATGCACTCTATGAATGATAATGATTGACTCAATATGCCAGAGGGGAAAGTAGAAATCTCAGCATTCCCTTCCTCATGTTGTTTATCTTTGACATTATCATGTTTACATAATTTTTAAAAGGAGAATGATAAACACTATTTTTTATTTTAAGAGTATAATACAACCAGTTGAAATGCTCAATATTTTTCAACTTTGGTATCACAGTGACACAAAGCTAAGAGTAATGATCTAGGAGTATTGCACAGATAACTGCTTGACTCTTATTTTCTCTGTCTCTATGAAAGCTAAATTTTATCTGCAAAGTAAGTGTAACATCATCAAATTATCTCTTCATATAAACGGTTCTTGAATAGTAAGCTTTGATAGGTATTCTAACAGCTGAATTTGGAAAAGATCTAAATCTCAACAATTTTGAGGAGCAACTGAGCAAATTACATGCTTCTGCTTATTTCATGTTATATTTCAGTGATTTAAATCTTGAATGAAATCTGATTTATATGCAAGCCATTTAGGTTCATACATTTTAATCTCAAATATTTCAAGATTTATGAAATACATACATATATATGTATAAAATATCAACTCATGACCAGATCTACAAAACTACTAACTTATATTTAAGTCAAGATAATATATAATTCCTGTATAATCCCTATAAAAAAATGTGTCTATGTAACAAATATTTTTAAAATTCAATTAACTCTTCAGGAAAATATTGATGACTTTTAAATACTAAAACAGCTGCAACCAGAGTAGTTAACTTACTTCAATATACAAAGAAAGAATATGAACCTTCTGTTGGCCAGTAAAAACTATTTCAGAAATTATCCCAGTTACAAGTTACTAAGAACTGAAAGTGACTTGGGTACTAAATTTTAAAACAAAAAAATTCATTTAAATTTTATTTTATATTTTTATTCCCCATCAGACTAACAGGAAGATTTATTTAAGTTTTGCACAGTACTGATCTGTTCAGGTTTTCTGTTTCTTCATGGTTCAATCCTGGTAAGTTGTATATCTCCAAGAATTTACCAATTTTTTTTCTAGTTTTTTGCTAGGTTTTCTAATTTGTTGGCATATACTTGTTCATAGAATTGTCATGATCCTTTGTATTTCTGTGGTATCGGTTGTAATGTCTTTTTTATCACACCTATTTTATTCACAATAGCCAAGATATGGAAACAACATAAATGTCTATATACAGATGAATGAATAATGAAAATGTGATAGGTAGCTAGATAGACATGAACGGAATACTATTCAGCCATATAACTGAATGAAATTATGTCCTTTGTGGCAACATGGATGAACCTGGAGGATATTATGTTAAGTGAAATAAACCAGACACAGAAAGATAAATACATAGAACCTAAAACAGTTGATTTTATAGAAGTAGAGAGTAAAATAGTGCTTACCAGACTCTGGGGAGAATAGGCAGGAGGAGGTGACTGGGATAATGGATACAAAGTTACAGTTAGATAAGAAGAATTAAGTTTCGGTGTTCTGTTACACATTAGGCTGAGGTTTATTGGACAGTCATGGCGGACAGGAGGCAGGACTAAACTGCAGCTCTGACTCGGACAGACAGAGTAGGGTACAGAGGCTCACACTGTGAATATTAGTTCCACATCAACTGCAAAAATGAACCAGGAATCCTGAGAGGACCCACAGTCCCTCTGAAGGAAGTGGACTGCTCCTGCAGGACCCGGGAAACACCCCAAATACTCAGCCGCAACAAGACCTGCCCAAGGAGAGTCTGAGCTCAGGCATGCCTAGCCCTGCCCCCACCTGATGGGCCTTCCTTATCCACCCGGGGAAGGTGAAGACAAAGGCCATATAATCTTGGGAGTTCTAGAGTCCCACCCACTGCCAGTTCCTCTCCATACTACCACAGCTGATGCTCTCTGGAAAGTGCCACCTCCCAGAAGGAGGCCAACCAGCACAAAAATAGAGCTTTAAATCATCAGAGCTAAGAACCCTCACAGAGTCCACTTGACTCCCTGGCCCCCTCCACTGAACACGTGCTGGTATCCACCACTGAGAGACCCATAGATGGTTCACTTCACAGAACTCTGTACAGACAACCCCCAGTACCACCCTGGAGCCAGGTAGAGTTGCTAGGTGGCTAGACCCAGAAGAGAGAATAAAAACACTGCAATTCAGCTCACAGGAAGGCACAGCCACAGGAAAATGGGGCGAGTACTACACCAAAGGAACACCCCATGGGACAAAAGAATCTGAATAGCCTTCAGCCCTAGACCTTCCCTCTGACAGAGCCCATCCAAATGAGAAGAAACCAGAAAAACAACTCTGGTAATATGATAAAGCAAGGCTCTTTAACACCCCCTCCCTCACCCCACAACAATCACACTGGCTCACCAGCAATGGAATGAAACCAAAAATAAATCCCTGATTTACCTAAGAGAGAACTCAGGAGGTTAGTTATTAAGCTAATCTGGGAGGCACCAGAGAAAGGTGAAATCCAGTGCAAGGAAATCCAAAAGTGATACAAGAATGAAATAGATAGCATGAATAAAAAACAATCAAAGCTTCAGGAAACAGCGGACACACATATAGAAATGCAAAATGCTCAGCAATATAATTGAACAAGTAGAAGAAATAAATTCAGAGCTCAAAGACAAGGTCTTTGAATTAACCCAATCCAACAAAGACAAAGAAAAAAATAAGGAAATATGGACAAAGCCTCCAAGAAGTATGGGATTATGTTAAATGACCAAACCTAAGAATAATCAATGTTCCTGAGGAAGAAGAGAAATCTAAAAGTTCAGAAAACATATTTGAGGGAATGAATGAGGAAAACTTCCCCAGCCTTGCTAGAGATCTAGACATCCAAATACAAGGAGCACAAAGAACACCTGGGAAATTCATCACAAAAAGATCATCACCTAGGCACAGTGTCATCAGGTTGTCTAAAGTTAAGATGAAAGAAAGAATCTTGAGAGCAGTGAGACAAAAGCACCTGGTAACCTAAAAGGAAAACCTATCAGATTAACAGCAGATTTCTCAGCAGACACTCTACAAGCTATAAGGGATTGGGTCCCTATCTTCAGCCTCCTCAAACAAAGCAATTATCAGCCAAGAATTTTGTGTCCAGTGAAACTAAGTATCATATATGAAGGAAAGATACACTTGTTTTCAGAAAAACAAATGCTGAGAGAATTCATCACTACCAAGCCACCACTACAAGAACTGCTAAAAGAAGCTCTAAATCTTGAAACAAATTCTGGAAACACATCAAAACAGAACCTTTTTTAAAGCATAAACCACACAGGACCTATACAACAAAAATACAAGTTAAAAAGCAAAAACAAAAAAACCAAGGTACACAGGCAACAAATAGCAGGATGAATGCAATGGTACCTCACATTTCAATACTAACATTGAATGTAAATGGCCTAAATGCTCCACTTAAAAGATACAGAACTGCAGAATGGATAAGAACTCACCATCCAACTATTTGCTGCCTTCAAGAAACTCACCTAACACATAAGGACTTACATAAACTTAAAGAAATGGGAAAAAGCATTCACACAAATGGACACAAAAAACGAGCAGGGGTAGCTATTCAGCTATTCAGACAAAAAAAAAAAAACTTTAAAATAACAGCAGTTAAAAGAGACAAAGAGGGACATTATATAATGGAAAAAGGCATTGTCACAGATTAGAGTGACTACAGCAAATAACGTTATGGTGTATATTTCAAGATAGCCAGAAGAGATTATGTTACGTGTTGTCACTGCAGATAAATAATAAATGTTTAAAGTGATAAGTGTGATAATTACAACAATTTGATCATTATACTATGTATTCTGCATGGAAACATCACATTGTACCCCATAACATTGTGTCAGTTGTAAATTTAAAAATTAAATACAAAATAAAGTCAGAAACAACACATTAAAAAGAAGAAAGGAGTAAAACATGGCTACAGCTGGAGTTAGTTTATTCATCTGGTGACAGTTTAGACTTATTTTTCACTGCTTTGTAAATGATTTTCCCTTCCAATTGCCACTAAATAGAAAGTTAAAATATTATTATGCACATATGATGAAATCTTAGCAGGAAGGCTTCAGGAAATTAAACAAAAGCTGACATAACAATTTTCGATGAAAGACTAAATGCTCTTACTTTAACATTGGATGAAATAAAATATATTATAAAACTAAAAGCACAATTATTCACCAAGCCTTTTTATTACTGCATTACAAAAAAAAATTAAATTGGGAAAAATTAAATTAAAGGCTACAATTTTCTATGTTTACTGAAAAGCCAGCTTTTCAGATGCTATAAATTTATTATCCTCAACAAAGAGCTTTAAGACTGAAAACTGATTGTTTTAAGATACGCTTTCATTTTTTATTAAAGCCCTCTGAAGAACAATCAAAAGAAAACATTTGTAATCTATGACTGATGGGTTGTACATTGTGAAAATAAACCCAGAAAGATTCATTACTTATTCAACACTGTCTAGAATATATAACTCTTTATGTCTTCTTATGCTTTATTTTTTGGCTAAAAATGGAAATAATAAAATTCACTGCATTGTGTATGCTGCGGAAAGGAATATTTAATATTCTCAGAGCATCGTGTGGCTGTACGGATGCATGAGATATTCCAGTTAACAAAAAAAAGTTGCTTTATGTTTCTGGCATGTGAATGACAAAGAGAAAATTGCTTCCTCTGCCAAAGAGAAAAATCTTAGAAAATAATAGAATTTAAAACCTCAGGATGTCATTAAAACTCTCTACTTATCAGAAGATGTCTAAGACTTTAGATTTTGGCAAAGCAATCATTTAGAACTATTCATCAGATAGTGACATCTCAAATCCCAGCTCCAACACACAGCTATGACTAAACATTTCAGGGGCTGCTGTGACTCCTTCTCCTTTGATAAGCTGTAGTACCTATTTTTCATATCAGTCAAAGGCAGAAATGCAATTAAGAATATAGACTCAAGAGGAGTAGTCCCTGGGTTTGCCTTCTGCTCCAGAAACTCATAGCTGTAAGATATTTCTGTGCCTCTGTTCTTTCATATGTCAAATACAGGTATTAATATATTTACCTCAGAGTGTTGCTGAGGATTAAATTGGAAAAGTAACTGATGTATAGCAAATGCATTTAACAGAATTTAACCATTATTTTTAATCATGATTTATCATCAATTTTCTTGTGCCAATTCTCTTTTTTATGTATTTGCATTTTTATGTTAAATCATCTCTCACATCCTGAAGACAAATATTTTCTTTCTTAACCACTTCAAGCGCAATACACATGGAGAATACTCAGCAAAACATTTTCTAAAAAAATACTCTTGGGTTTAGAAACCTTACTATGTTTGGTAAAAAAAAATAAAATAAAACTTTTTACACAAACAGATAGGTTTACTATAAAATAGACTATGAAATGTTTCAAGGAATATGGTTTTCATACATAGTGAGGTAAACACTAGTTCCAAAATGCCAAGAGTTAAGAGAGGCAGGTCACAGAGCAAAGAAAACTGAGGGTGAGAATTTTTGCAAACTTTCGACTTTAAAATATAGCATATTTTTCTTTAACTCTCTACTTGGCCAAAAGTTCAGGGAAAGGAAACTTGAAGCAGAAAATAATGTGTTTATACTGATAAATTTCTATGTCAGGAACATTTTAATATTTTCTGGGAGAAAAATAAAGATAATTAATCAATCGCTTTTGAAAAACCTTTGAAGAAATTTATCCTGAATTTCTGGAAAGTGTTATGGTTGTGGATAAATATAAAGATATTTTCTTTTTAAGGTAAAAGATATACAGTCAGTTAAGTAGAAGGGCTGTAGAATTACCTCTAGCTTTGTTCATATAATTTTGTTTGAATTTTACACAAACTATATTTAAAATTAGATGTAATATAGTTTTTATCTATTTCTTACATAATTATTATATAATCTTTAGATAATCCATATGATACAGTCCTCGTGATAGAATCAGGAAATCACTTGGCTGCCATTTATAAAATTACCAGTTTAAAATAAGAGAGGGTTGAAAATTAGTTTCACAAATTTAAATTTGAATCTAAAGGTAATAACATATTCTAAAATTTGAATGAATGAAACCAATTATACATTTGCAGTTAAATGTAGATCTATTGTCTGAATGTTTATTTTCTTAGTTATATCTATACAATAAATCATGGAAATGACTAAAGAAAATGGCTGTACTAATCATTTTACTTTCAAATTTGATCTTCTGCCTTTGGCTATACACATACCACTTACATTTTCACATCATAATTGTTTCAAATCATTAAAGAGGCATTGGATTTAAAAATTGATCCTAAAGAGATAGCAAAATAAACAAATATGTAAAGTTACCATTCTCCTTCTTTTAGGGTGAAAAATTTCATGTCCCAAACTCATTCCTTGCAGTTTATCAGTGGTAATTTCAGCATTTACAATTTTATACTTCATATTTTGTGAAATCTTTAAAATTGCCTTTGTTCTCGTTTTAGTGCAACCATTTGCATTGAGACATTATTGAATACTAGAATGGGAAAGAGATTAAAATATTCAAATAACATTAACAAATCATTGGTAATTTCAATACAACCAACATTGCCTTAAAAAAAATCTCGTAATTTCAATACTTATGTCTTGGTTGTCTTTCAGAGTCGAGCAGGTTTTTTTTTAAAAACTGTTTACTGCCCTCACCTTACTCTACTATATGCATGGGAGACAAAATTCTCCCACGTTTGTTTATTACAAGAAATCTAAACACCTCTCTATAGCACACCATAGAATGGCCCTATAATTATTTAATGATGTAATTTGATTAGAGCAAAAATTATGTTTTGTAAAGAATGCTTATTGATACTCTTATTAAAAATTCTTTTCTTTTTTTCTTTTTTTTTTTTTTTTAATGGAGTCTCACCCTATTGCCCAGGCTGGAGTGCAGTGGCGCGATCTCAGCTCACTGCAGGCTCTGCCTCTCAGGTTCACACCATTATCCTGCATCAGCCTCCCTAGTAGCTGGGACCACAGTCACCTGCCACCACACCCGGCTAATTTTTTTTTGTATTTTTTAGTAGAGAAGGGGTTTCCCCGTGTTAGCCAGGATGGTCTCGATCTCCTAACCTCGTGATCCACCCACCTTGGCCTCCCAAAGTGCTGGGATTACAGGCGTGAGCCACTGCACCCCACCAAAAATTATATTTTTAGTGCTATCAGAGTATACCAGCAACTTAATTGAAGGAAATGGAAATTAGCTTTAAAATATTTTTCTCAGAAATGCATTCTTGTAGGTTTAGAAGGTATTCCTTATTCAAAATTCCTATATAAAATTTCAGACAATTGTATTCCAAGCAGAACTTTAGATACCTTAAGCAGTCTTCGTTATGAAAACAATTAAAAGTGCAAATAATTCAGCAAAAGGAACTGTCAATAGAGTAAACAGACAAGCTACACAATGGGAGAAAATATTTACAAATTCTGAATCTGACAAAAGTCTTAATATACAGAATCTATATGAAATTTGAACAAATCAACAAGCAAAAAACAATCCTGTTAAAAGTGAAGCAAAGAACATGGGTAGGTACTTCTCAAAAGAACACACATAGGTGGGCCATAAACATAAGAAAAAATGCTTAACATCACTAATCATCAGAAAAATGCAAATCAAAACTACAATGAGATACCATCTCACACTAGTTAAAATGGCTTGTATCAAAAAAGTCAAAAAACAACAGACGTTGATGAGGCTGTGGAGAAAAGAGAATGCTTATAAATTGTTGGTGAGAATATAAATTAGTTCAGCCATCATGGAAAGAAGTTTGGAGATTTCTCAAATAACTAAAAAGAGAACTACCATTTGATCCAGCAATCCTATTACAGAATATACACCTAAAGGAAATTAAGGAGTTCTACCAAAAAGGCACATACACTCATATGTTCATCGCGCACAATTCACAATAGCAGAGGTATGGAATCAACCTGGGTGCCCATGAACAGTGGACTGGATAAAGAAAATATGCATATACACCATGGAATACTACATGAATACATAAAAAGGAATGAAATCATGTATTTTGCAGCAATATGACTTCAGCTGGTGGCCATTATCCTAAGTCAATTAATGCAGAAACAGAAAACCAAACACTACATGTTCTCACTTATAAGTGAAAGTTAAACATTGGATACACATGGACATAAAGATGGGAACAATAGACACTGGGGACTCTAAGAGGTGGAAGAGACAGACAGGGGTAAGGGTTGGAAAACTACCTATTGGGTACTATGTTCATTACCTGGGCAATTGTAACCCAAACCTCAGCATCATGCAATATATCCATGTAACAAACTGCACATGTACCACTGAATCTAAAAAAAAAAAAAGATACTTTTTCTAAATGTAAATAACTATTATAGCATCAAGAGTTTTAAAAAAAATGAAGTTTCTGTTTTGATGACCACATGTGACATGGGAGACCAAATATAAAGCCTGAGACCAACAGGTTCAAGATCTAATAAGATCTACAAATAAAGCTGGTAATTTTGGAAAAGAATAAAATAAACTAGAAATAAGTTGGCATATGGAAAGATACTCCAAATAAATTCAGTTTAGATTTAGATAGCAGAGTATACTGAGGGGTGGAGTCTCCCTTGAGCATCAGAAATCTTGCATGTTTGTGGCCTAAAATTATTTATATTACTTGTGCAGTCCTATCCATTTCAACCACAGAATTCATAGTAAAAGAGTTTAGAATGATTGTTTTATTTTGCTCCTCACCTAACAACAAACAAATAAACAACAACCCATAAGTTTTCTTCATTAAAAAGGATGTTGAATTAAAACTACTTAACACATTTTAAAAAGTCAATGTCCTTTGAAAAAACTTACCTTCTAAAGAAACTTTATAAAATGATAAAATTCCAAGGGACCACAATAAAATGTACATATAAAACATATAAGGAATCAGGGTATGAGGAAAAAAAAAACTTTCCAAAATAACTAACAACAGAATCAAATCTGCAAAAATTTAGCATTTAAATTACTATTCAAAGAATGCCAAGTAAATATGTCAAATATACTTAAAGAAATAAAACAGAAAACTATAAACATAAGTAAGGAATATGTAACTATAAAAATTGACCAAACATCTTTGAAAAATAATGACTAAAAATTAATATTTTATTTGAAACTAAAACGAATAGGATAAATGCCAGAGGGGAGAAAAATTGAAAGAAATTAATAAATAGGAAATTCAACCTGAAAGGATTGAGAGTGCAGTAAAGAAAAAAAAAACGTGGGATGGAAGAAAATGAAAGGGTACAAAATAGGGCAGATAGTATAAAATGTTCTAACATATGTTGAAGGAGAGTTCAAGAAAGTGATAATAAAGAAATTGAGAGATACAGAATCTGAATAGATAATAGTTAAGAATTTCTGAGAAGAGATGAAAGCACTGATTCAAGAAGTTGTCCAAGTGAAAACATTTTTAAAATCCAATCTAGAATTCTATATCTAGAAAAAGTATTCTTCAAGAATTAGGGTGAAATAAAACTTTGTAGAGGTACAAAAACTAACTTAGTGAACAACAGACCCTCAGTAAAAGACAATGGTGGAGGAAAGGGGTACAAATCAGCACCCTTAATTCCAGAAGGAATGTTGAGCAAAGAAACTAGGGCTTCCAGTTTCTGGCCTGACATGTAAAGAACTCAAAAGTCAGTCCTGCTCACAATAATAATAATAATAATAATAATAATAATAAATAATTTGGGGAAAAAAGAGAATATAAACAACCATTTTTAGATTGCCCAGGTTACTGGGCAAACAACTGTCCTGAAAGCTGGGGAGACGTGCGGATAAAGAGAATCACAGCTCACCAGAAACAGAAAGAAACAGAAGCTGCTGCTAGAGCCAGCAGCTGGTAGGAACACTTAAAGGGTAACTGACTAATTGCTGGAGAAAAAGCATGGACTATCTTGAGAGACAAAAATTGCAGGCACAGCCTCAGAGGACCCCACAAATTCATGACTTTCACATCCAGGAGCCCAAACTACATGCTCAGGGTAAAGATCAGAGAAAGATTCCTTTTGTGCTTCTGACAGGAGCAAGCAGAAAATAACCATTTTTAAACAGTCCCAGAGTGTTCTGTTCTCTTTAACACCTACCCTCAAGGGAAACTATTTATCACAGACTGATTTGAGTTTTACTAAAGCCTAACTGATCTGGAAGATGACAAATACTGAACTGTAGTTTCTCTAGTCTTCCTATCTCATCTAAGAGAAAAAAAACAAACTCAGAAGCTCTTGTGAAGATCCCAGCCTAGGATCCCAATAAAAGACTAAAACTTAATTACAGAATTAGAGGACATTTTCCCTCTCCCCACAATTTACCAGCACACCAATCAGGATCCCGTAAAATAACAGGGAATTACATTGTAAGAACTGCAAGGCTGAGACCCAATTTAAGAAGGGGTCTCTAAAGAAATTCAAAGACAACAGAGAAGAATAAAACAAAGACACTAGAGAAAACTTAAGCCTCTGGCACCTGTTATTACAGCAAACAGTAAACATAGCCTAACTCCTAGCCAGAGAAACATAAAACTTCACACTAACGACCTGTTTTCCTCAGTTGCTTATAGCTGATATGCCATGTCCATATTTCAACAGAATTTTTTTAAGGTTGTCTCTGAAATCAATCATGTTCAGCTCAGATCTAGATACTGGTGCCAACACTGTAGTGAGTGTACCTACATCCAAGGACCTGGGCATCATGGTAGTTTTGTGTGCCTCAGAGCCCAGGAACCCAGTCCACCGTCATTTTGAGTGCCTGCAACCTGAACACTAGCACTACTTCTGGGAGAAGTGTGCCTGGGCCCCAGAATTTGTGCTGTTACGGCTGCCTGTGTACCTGCACACCAGAGTTCACACAAACAAGTATCCCTGCAGCTATGACTTCCCCTGCAGGGGTTAAAAAAAAAAAAGGAGAACCACAGCAGCCTTTGCCACTTTTTCAAACAAGGCTTGCTACTGCCACTGCTACAACAGACACCTACAGTTTAGAGTGTTGAGGACACCTCAATCTTTGCCAATGCTGATATCAGGTGATGGAGTTATACATAAACTATGCCACAATGCCCTTTCTGAAACCAGACTTGCTGTATCCCACCTAGTTGGTGCCTTCACACTCACCTGCAGGTGAAAGTCTTTCTCTACCAAAGCCAGTATATAATGTCTCAAGGAAGTGACTGCTTTCTCAAAAGCTCATTCACCAACACAAAGCCACAAGAAACATGAAAAAGCAAGAAACATGACACCATCAAACACAATAATTTTCTGGAAACTTATGAATTGCCTGAAAAGAAATTCAAATAAATTATTTTAAGGAAGCTCGGTGGCATATAAGAGAACACAGACAACTCAACAATATTATTTTAAAAACGAAAAAAATTAGAAGTTCAAAAAAGAAATAGAATTATAAAAACTGAACTAAACAGAAATCCAGGAGGCAAAATATTCAATAAATAAAATGAAAATGTAATAGAGAGATTCAACAGCAGAATAAATCAAGTAGAAAAAGAATCTGTAAACTCGAAGACAGGTCTTTTGAAATTACCTAGTCAGAGGAAAACAAAGAAAAAAAGAAATGGAAAGAGTAAAGAAAGCCTATCAGACTTATAGGACACCATTAACAGAGAATAGAGAAAAGGGCTGAAAGCTTATTTAAAGAAATAATAAATGAAAAATTCCCAAGAGATATGGACATCTGATACATGAGATCAAAAGTTCCTAAACAGGTGCAACTCAAAGAGAACTTCAAAAGACACATTATAATTAAGTTATTCAAGTCAAATACGAATAGACCATTTTAAAAACATTAAGAGAAAAGTAACTCACCACATATAAGGAAATTTCCATAAAGCTATCAGCAAATTTCTCAGTAGAAACCTGCAGTGCAGAAGAAAATGGGATGATGTATTCAAAGTGCTGAAAGAATAAAACCTTTTTTCTTTTTGAGCTGGAGTCTTACTCTGTCACCCAGGCTGGAGTGCAGTGGTGTGATCTCAGCTCACTGCAAGCTCTGCCTCCTGAGTTCATGCCATTCTCAGCCCCCCGAGTTGCTACGCCTGGCTTTTTTTTTTTTTTTTTTGTATTTTTGGTAGAGAAGGAATAAAACTTTTAACCAAGAATACTTTACCTGGGGCACCTGTGCTTCAGCAATAAAGGAGAGATGAAGACTTTCCCTGAAAAGTAAAACCTGAAGGAGTTTATCACCACTAGACCTGCCTTACAAAAAAACGCTAAAGGAAGTTCTTTAAGCTGAAACAAAAGGACAATAATTTGTAACAAAATATATACAATTGATTGGTAAAAGTAAGTATATACTTAAATTCAGAATACTTGAATACTGGAGTGGTGATGTGTAATCACCTTTAAATTTAGTATAAAGGTTAAAAAAAGTATTAAAAATAGCCTTAGCTACAGTATTTTGTTAATGGAAACATAATATAAAAAAGTAAGTTATGACATCAAAAATAGAAAATGTGGGGAAAGGGGAGTGAAAGATTCCTATGCAATTAAAGTTAAGGTGTTAGTTTATAGTAGACTGCCATAACAATATGATGCTTTCCAAAAGCCTCATGGTAACCAATAAGCAAAAACTTATGGTAGATACACAAGAGATAAAGAAAAAGCAATTAAAGCATACCACTAAAACAATTTTTAAATAACAAAGGGAGACAAGAGAGGAAAAAGAAAGAAAATTGGTACAAAACAGTCAGGGAACAATTAAGACAATGGCAATAGTGGGTCTTTACCTATCAAGAATTACTTTAAATGTAAATGGATTAGAATGTCCAATCAGAAGACATAGAGTAGCTGAATGGATAAATAAAACAAGACCTAACTCTATGTTGCCAATAAGAGACTTACTTTATCTTCAAGGACTTACATAGGTTGAACGTGAAGGAATGGAAAAAGATATTCCATACAAATGAAAACCAAAAAAGTGCTATACTTACAGGAGACAAAATAGACTTTAAGTAAAAAACTGTAACAAGAGACAAAAAGGGTCATTATATAATGATAAATGATGTCAGTTCATCAAGATGATATAATAACTGTAAATATAGATACACTCAATATCAAAGCCCATAAATATATAAAACAAATATTAATAGATCTGAAGACAGAAATAGCAATACAGTTGTTATAATCAGAGACTTCAGTATCCCACTTTTAACAATGGACAGATCATTTAGATAGAAAATCAGCATGTAAACTTCGTACTTGAACAAGATTTTAAGCCTAATGTACCTAAAAGACATATACAGAATATCCATCAACAAGCATCAGAATACTCATCCTTCTCAAGAGCACACAAAGAATTCTCCAGGGCAGATCATGTGTTAGGCCACAAAACAAGTCTTAATAACTTAAAAAGAGTGAAATCTGTCACATAAAGTATCTTTTCTGACCACAATGGTATGAAACTAGAAAATCATTATAGAGGAAAAACCGGAAAATTCACAAATAGGGAGAAATTAAAGTACATAGTCCTGAACAACTGAGGAAAAAAATAAAAGAGAAACAAAAAATATCTTGAGACAATCAGAAATGGAGACACAAAATACCAGAACCAATGGAATGTAGCAACATAGTTCTAAGAGGGAATTTTGTAGTAATAGCTGCCTACATTAAGAAAAAAAAAAAAAGATCTCAAATGAGGACCCTAACTATACACTTCAAGGAACTAGAGAAAGAAGAACAAACTGAGACCAGAGTTAGCAGAAGAAGAAAATGACCAAGATCTGAGAAGAACTAAATGAGAGACATGAGAAATAATAGAAAAGTCAATAAAACTAAGAGTTGCTTTTTGAAGAAATAAACAAATTGACAAGATTTTAGGTAGTCTAAGAAATGAAAAAGAAAGAGGACTCGAATAAATAAAATCAGAAATGAAAGAGGAGACATTACAACTGATACCATAGAAATACAAAGGATTATAAAAGGTTACTATAAGCAATATATTCCAATAAATTGGATAAACTAGAATAAATGGATAAATTTCTAGAAATGTACAACCTACCAAGATTGAATCAGAAATAGAAAATCTAAACTGAAAAATCTAAACCAAAAAAAAAGTAAAGAGATTGAATCAATAATATAAAGTCTCTCATCAAATAAATGTCCAGGATCAGATTTTTAAAATAACTAAAACCAATCTTTCTCAAACGTTTCCAAAAAATGAAGGAGAAGAAATACTTCTAAACTTATTTTACAAGGCGAGGGTTACCCTGATAACAAAGCCAGACTATGACACTACAGAAATGAAAATTACAGGCCAATACCCTTGACAAACAGAGATGCAAAAATCTTCAACAAAATATAACTGACCCTCATATTTATGGGTTCTGCATCCATGGATTCAATCATAGATTGAAAATATTTGGGGAAAAAAGAACGAATGCATTAGTACTGAATGTGTACAGCTTTTTTTCTTGTCATTTTCTCCTAAGCAATACAGAATAACAACTATTTACATAGTAATTACATTGTTTGAGATGTTTTAAATAATCTAGGGGTGATTTAAAGCATACAAACCAAAACATACAGGTCATCTGCACATACTATGTCATTTTATATAGATACTTGAGCATTCATGGATTTGGGTATTGACAGAAGATCCTGGAACCAATCCCCCATGGATACCAAGGGACAACTGTACTAGCAAGCCAAAGTCAACAGTACAAAATGCAAATCTTTTTGTGATAATAAAAAGACCCTCAACAAACTAGATGATATAGAAGGAATGTACCTCACCACAATAAAGGCCATATATGAGAAGCCCACAGCTAACATAATCAGTGGTGAAAATTTAAAAACTTTTCCTCTAAGATCAAGAACAGAGCAAAAATACCAACTCTTGCCGCTTCTATTTGGCATGGCCCTGGAAGTTTCAGCCAGATTAATTAGGCAAGAAAAGTTAAATAGAAGGCATTCAGTTTGGAAAGGAAGAAATTGTCTCTGTTCATGGATGGCATGATCATATATACAGAAAATCCTTAAGTTTCAACCAAAAAAAAACCTGTTAGAACCAATAAACAAATACAGTAAAGTTGCAGGATACATAATCAACATGCAAATGTCATAGTATTTCTATCTGCTAACAGTGAACTAACCAAAACCATCAAAAAACTCTCATTTACAATAACTACAAAAAAATGAAATTCTTAGAAATAAATTTAACCAAGGAGGTGAAACTGAAAAATAAAGTGTACACTGAAAACTATAAAACACTTATGAAAGAAGTTGAAGAAGACACAAATAAATGAAAAGATACCCCAGGTTCATGGAGTGGGATAATTAATATTACTAAAATCGATAATTTTATAATAAATCAATTATTAATTAATTTGTTAATTAATATAAATTATAATTAATTATACTATACAAAAAATCTACAGATTTAATGCAATCCTTATCAAAATTCTAATAAAATTTTTCACAGAAATGGAAAAAAATTTGAAAATTTGTAGAGAGCCGCAAGACTCCAAATAGCCAAAGCAATGCTCAGAAAAAAGAACACAGCTGAAGGCATCACATTGTGTCCAGAATTGGTTCCTTCCTGTGTGTCCTTGGTCTCGCTGACTTCAAGAATGAAGCCGCAGACCCTCATGGTGAGTGTTACAGCTCTTAAAGATGGTGTGTCTGGAGTTTGTTCCTTCAGATGTTCAGATGTGTCTGGAATTTCTGCCTTGCCATGGGTTGGTGGTCTCGCTGACTTCTGGAGTGAAGCCGCAGACCTTTGCAGTGAGTGTTACAGCCCTTAAACGTGGTGCATCTGGAGTTGTTTGTTCCTCCTGGTGGGTCTGTGGTCTTGCTGACTTCAGAAATTAAGCTGCAGACCCTTGCAGTGAGTGTTACAGCTCATAAAGGTAGTGCAGACCCAAAGAGTGAGGAGCAGCAAGATTTATTGTGAAGAGTGAAAGAATAAAGCTTTCACAGTGTGGAAGTGGACCTGAGCGGATTGCCGCTGCTGGCTCAGGTGGCCAGCTTTTATTCCCTTATTTGGCTCCGCCCACATCCTGCTGATTGGTCCATTTTACAGAGAGCTGATTGGTCCATTTTACAGAGTGCTGATTGGTGTGTTTACAATCCTTTAGCTAGACACAGAGTGCTGATTGGCGCATTTTTACAGAGTGCTGATTGGCGCATTTAGAATCCTTTAGCTAGACACAATGCTGATTGGTGCATTTACAATCCTCTAGCTAGAGAGAAAAGTTCTCCAAGTCCCCACTCGACCCAGGAAGTCCAGCTGGCTTCACATCTCAACATTACCTGTCTTCAAAATATACAACAAAGCTATAGTAATCAAGACAGAATAGTACTGGCATAAAAACAGACAATAGATCAACATTGCAGAATAGAGTGTCCAGAAATAAATCCACACATTTAAAGTCAATTGATTTTCAATAAAGAGGACAAAAACATGCAATGGGGAAAGGACAGTCTCTTCTTGGTCTTGGGAAAACTGGTTATCCATATGCAGAAAAAAGAAATTATACTGTCATCTCACATCACATATAAAAATCAACTCAAAGTACAAAAGGACTTGAACATAAGACTTGAAACTGTAAAATTACTAGAAGAAAACATAAGAGAAATGCTTCATGACATTGGTGTAGGTTATGATATTTTTGGCTATAACTCCAAAAGCACAGAAAACAAAAGCAAAAAATAGATCAATGGAATTATATCAAACCAAAACACTTTTTCACAGCCAGTGAAACAATCAACAGAATGAAGAGATAACCTATGTAATGGGAGACTGTAGTTTCAAGCCATACATCTGATAAGGGTTAACATCCAAAATATACAAAGAACTCAAACAACTCAATGGCAAGAAAACAAATAACCAGATTTAAATATGAACCAAGGACCTAGATAGCTATTCCTCAAAAGGAAACATACAATGGCCAACAAGTATATAAATAATTTTTTCAAAATCACTAATCATCAAGGAAATGCAAATTAAAACCACAATGAGATATCACCTTATACCTGTTAGAATGGCTATGAACAACAACATCATAAAAACCAAACGTAAGTGTTGGCAAGAATGTGGAGAAACAGGAACTCTTGCACACTACTGTGAGAATGTAAATTAGTGCAGCCATTATGGAAAATAGTATAAAGATTTCTCAAGAAGTTAAAAATAGAACTACTATATAATCCAGCAATTCTACTACTGGGTATGTATCCAAAGAAAATAAAATTAGTAGATATCTGCACTCCCATGTTCATAGTAGCATTATTCACAACAGCCTAGACATGGAATCAACTTAAGTGTCCATCAATGGATGAATGGATAAAGAAAATGTGATGTATATATACTCAATGGATACTATCCAGTCTTTAAAAAGAAGGAAATTCTGCCATTTGCAACAACATGAATAGATCCACAGGACATTATGTTAAGTGAAATAAGCCAGGCACAGAAAAACCAACCTGCATGATCTTACTTACATGTAGAGTCTAAAAGTCAAATTCATAGAAGCAGAGAATAGAATAGTGGATACTAGAGTCTGGGATTAGGAGTAGGGATAGGGAGATGTTGGCTAAAGGACACAAAATCTATTATAAAGGAGTATAAGTTCAAGAAATCTATTGTACAATGTGGTGACTATAGTTAATAATATTTGTATCCTAGAAAATTGCTGAGAGAGAAGATTTGAAGTGTTCTTACTACAAATAAATATGAGATAGTTATATGCATATATATAGTTAATACATATGTTAATTGGCTTGATTTAGCCATTCCAAATATATATACATTTCAAAACATCATTTTGTATACCATAAAAATATACAATTTTTAGTTGTCAATTAAAAATAAATAAGAAGGAAAAAGAACTGCATTGTCTTCAAGTACTTTCAATAACCAAATCTGATATAACAAATATTGCCTACTATGTGTTACCAAGGGTCCTGCTTTGATAAATAAATGTGACATTATAGTCACAAAAATTGGGAATTTAAACTTTGGAAGTAGATAGGCTCATCCAACGTATATAGATAAAAATAACAAAGGAAAAACTTAAGGCAGAGCTCTAATTTTAAGCCTGAATATAAGGACAAATAGTTGATTACCTCTAAATTTATATTTCTAGGCTTAACTATTTCCTCTGCTCCAACTGAAAACATTCATCTGGATTTCTGCAGGTGCATCAACTAAATTATTTCCCAAATTTAATCAATTATCTTACATGCCAAATAACTCCTCTTTCTCTGTGCTCTATTTCAGGGGTTGAAACCTCTATAGACACCCTTACTTAGGCTCCCTTGCCTCCCGACTTCCTGTTGGGCTTAATCAATAGGAGTCTCTAAGAGGAAATCAAAATATGAGAAGAGAGAGGCTGAATATTTACTGACCTGCATCCCATTCTACTCAGAGTTTAATTCTGGCAGTGGCTGCTGCAACTTTAGCTCTTTCCTGCCTAGCAATTGTAACTGCCTTTCTTGTTGATAGTGTCTGGCTGCCTCACCTATGTCTTACTGGTTTCCTTCACCCTGGACGCACTTTTGTACGTAGCTTTTATTAAATTATTTCTAAGTAAACCGTTTTTAGGATGCCATCTGTTTCCTGCTGGGTCCTGACTGATACATCATCCATAAATTCAAGATGTACATCTTAGACAAATGCAAAGGTAGTCATGAGCATTTAATAAATAGAAGCTAGCAGCCAATCTTCAAAAATAAAAACATAGTATTATTGAAAACAGGAAATTTTTCTAACTGGGGGGCATAAGTAATTTAGAAATTATCCTTGAATAAGCAAGTTCTCAGTGGCAAACTGTCATTTATATTCTCTTGATTTTTCCATACAAGCTTCAATAGAATAATGTTACCTAGTACCCTTATGTGGTCTGTTTAAGTAAAAGATAAAATAGTAAAACAGTCTCCTGATGTTCACAGTATTCTCATTTCATCTCTAAAAGATGTGCATCTTTGAATAGCAATTGTGAACACCAAGGTTATCTTCCATGGAGTTTTATTTCTTTTAAACAACTATCTCAATTTTTTATTCTTTATGTTGTTCATTTCTCTTTCTCAGTGAGAAACCTCCGGTGCCATTTCTTTTTGAGAAATAATTTATTTCTAGTCTGCTGTCAGGACCCTTATCAACTGTTGAGTGAAATCCATGCCTCCCATAAATCAACTTGATTTAAAATTCCCCTCTGTTTGCTTTCCTTTCTCTTTGCTTCTTTTCTTATTCTTTTTCTTATCTTCCTTTTTCCACTGTCTTATCTCCTTTTGACTATTCATGGAACAGGTACTTAGACTGGCCATAAACTTATGTGTTAAGGATAATTTTTCCAAGCTGAATTATATTAGCCATTCAGTGTGATATCCCCAAAGTTCTAACAAGGCAGCACCTCAAAGTCTTGTTCACTAGCTCTATCAGTAGAAACATGATAGGTCAACTATGTAAAATCCTCAAGACTTCAGAGTGGCTTATTTCTATTCCTTTGGGAGTTGGAGATAATCGGAACAGTTTTTGGAGATATAGGTAGATTGGCCCTGATTACCACCTGCCTGTAGGAAAATGGTAAATAAACAGAATTGGACTGGCCTACTGCACTGACAACTAGTCCATAAAAACAGAAGAAACCTGGAGAAAGGCTGTGAACATTTAGAGAGCTCTGTTATCTTTCCTCTAAGGAGAAAGAATTTTTCTGTTATTGGGCAGTATCCATTTTAAATGCACACATCTGAAAATCTGACATAAAACAGATAAGCATTCTACAAAAACTCACAATTCTTCTGTCAATTAAATATTGCAAAGGGACAGAATTGATCATTTTTATTGCCTAGGAATTTAACAGTAATGCAATATATGAGCCAATGAATTTGAGTGCTTTAGTTGAAGCCTTTACTGACATGGTTATGCCTTTAGATCCACAGAAGAAATACACACCAGAGGATACCATCATACATTCCAGACTATTTGTAACAAAACCCTTTGCTGGTACCTACAGCTTTAATCATTAATTCTGTTAAAAGTGATTTTACTTCTAAGTTATTTCTCATTACAAGATTTCAAAAGGCATTAGTATCAATGAGCAAGAGTCATATTTGTTGCATTTAATAATGGTTTCATATTGTTTCCTATTTTTTGAAGGATAATTTGTGATTTTCTCACCTAAACAAATTCATCTGTCTTATGTCTTCCTCATTTCCACTGCAACTTTGGAAATTATGACTGTAATGACATGAATCTTGTTAATAGTAATTTGAGGTTCTGGATACCCAGTACAGAAATCAATAGAAACAAAGTCCTCATTTCACCCTGCAGAAGCCCTCCTACCCCGGGCAGAGACTCAAGATGGAGCAGCCAATCTCCTGGGTTGATGTTAAAATCTTCCACTGTTGCTGGGGAGGCGGACATCCTTTCCCTGCATCTCCGTACCCTAAGGTCTGTTGCTCTCTGATAGCTCCACCATGATGTGGACTGACATTGGCATGGTTTTTGTTTATGTAATGACTTTTCCAAGACATTCATGTGATTTATTCAAAAAGTTTGCCCATGTGCCATTTTTCTTTCCTTATCACCTACTTTATTCTAGCTGAGTGGTCTTGACAGTATAATGGGTTTTGTCACAAGTCCAAAAAATGACCTCTTAGTTTCTTAAATGATAAATGTACAGTTCTTTTTATTGACTCTTCCAGTGTCCAGGCAAATAGGAGCTGCGGACACATCTACAAGGGCTGGACCAAAGATCAAAGCACAGTGGCTCTTTCAAGAGTGCTGTTTTTACTTCCAATCAAGGAGTCATTCTGGATAGAAGTCTTCCTTATCCCATCGCCTCTGGTGATGATTAGCTAAGATAAAAATAAAACACTTAGCCCTTAACATATGGTAAATCTATAATAAATATTATTATCATTCCACATGTATAATTTACTCATTATAAATAGCTTGTTGTAAAGATAAGAATATTGGATTTAAATCAAGATTTTAACTCTGCTCCCTATGAAATAATATACAAACCACTTAACCTTGCTTTTTTCCACCCTGACTCTAATCAAGCTTCACCTACAGAAACATTTTAATAGTTTCCCCTGACACCACAGTAAAAGTCCAGATTCCTATGTATGGTGTATAGGACCGTTAACAATATGAGCCCTGATTTTCCATTTGTATACCCCTGTGACATATTACCACCAACCCATCATGCACTCTAAAATGCAAACTCCATGCTGTTTCATATCTGTGACCCTCATGGCATCCCCCACTTAAAATGCCCTTTTACTTTCCTTTTCAAAATAAAATCTTAGTCACTAAGAACCAGTTGAAATATTCCATGACACTCTATTAGAATCCTCTAGTCAGTTAGTACCTCTAATATGCTCAAATATAATTCTAGGACATTTATATTTTAGTAACTATGTTGCTCTGGGCATGTTTATTTACCATTTATATCCCTACCAAAGTTAAGGTTTTCACTTCAGGGTAGAGATTTTATCTTGTCATTTTTATAACCTCAGCAACTGGTACTTTTTATAGCATAAAATCATCCTAAACATTGGTAGGAGAAAAAAAGTGAGTAAATAAAATGCATTGTTCCAGGCCTCAAAACTCTCATTTGCAAAATCAGGAGGTTATGTCTATGATTATTTAGGTACACTCTATGATGTCAGTTTCTTAATAGTTTTGTTTTAAAAGAGAAATGTTTCAATTTGATTATAATCCATACTTTATTCAACCTAAATAGATTACTAACACACTATATTAATTTTATTACATTCACAATGTTATTACTGCAGAACAAACAATATTGAGAACATTTTTAATAAAGGTGTTGATTGAAATAATATGACCCACAGACCTTCCACTTCAAAGTGGGATGAAGTAGTTTGTGACAAACTAACACTCTTGGAAAGAGTCTTAATTGTACCTGCAAATAAATCCAAGTACATTTTAAGAGGTCCTTAATTTCAAGGCACCATTGAGCAACAGAAGCAGTGAGTAATGGAGGATCTAAAATTACAGAAAAGAAAAGCTTTAAAGAAATTATCTTAGGAACAGTTACCTTTTCCCTGTGGGCAGGCGTTTGCCAGTTCTGAGAATGGGCTGGAATCTGAGATTCAGACTTTGCTAGGAATAGAACTGTGTGTAGGGGACATAAAACCCAACAAAGCTTTGGTGGTCATGTGGAGCCAGAGTGACTTAACTGCAGAATTGACAGATCTGAAGACATGACAGGCTTCTTGAGAAATCTGGTGAATGTTTAAACTATGCAGAACAAGAATTAAAGAATTGAGCTTGAACACCTCTGAAAAGCAGAATGGAAGCTTCTACAATCCCACAGGACTAAAACAAGACTTTCCAGGGAAATGAGCCCTAGTTACCATACCACATTATCAGTTGGATCCTGTGGAGGGCTATGCTTTGAGAGCATGGAATGAAACAAACATAGATTGAGTCTTACTATAACCACAATCCTGCTTTAATTCAAGCCAGCCCCTGATTGAATTAAGGTGGTCAACCTCCCTTCTTTCTGCCAGAAGGATAGTGAATCCTCCCTGGTAGAAGATACTATCTAGATTCACTACAGTATTTTATACTTGTTGTTCAGCATTCAATCAAAAATTACCACCCAGCCAAAGAGCATGAATAGACATTTCTCAAAGGAAGGTATACAAATGGCCAAAAAAAAATATGAAAAAAATGCTCCATATAACTTATTATCAGGGGAATGCAAATCAAAACCACAATGTGATACCACCTTACTCTTGCAAGAATGACCATAATTAGAAAATCAAAAAAAAATAGATGTTGGCATGCATGTGGTAAAAATGCAACACTTTTACACTGCTGGTGGGAATGTAAATTAGTACAACCACTATGGAAAACAGTATGACTATTCCTTAAAGAAGTAAAAGTAGATCAACCTTTCAAAGTAGAACGTCCACTGCTGGGTATCTACCCAAAGGAAAAGAAGTCATTCTATAAAAGACACATACACACATGTTTATAGCAGCACAACTTGCAATTGCAAAAATATGGAACCAACCTAAGTCTTCATCAATCAACATGTAGTTAAAGAAAATGTGGTATATACACCCTATAGAATACTACTCAGCCATAAAAATAAACAAAATAATGCCTTTTGCAGGTACTTAGATGAAACTAGAGGCCAATATTCTAAGTGAAATAACTCAGGAATGGAAACCAAATATTGTATGTTCTCAGTTATAGGTGAGAGCTAAGCTATGAGGATGTGAAGTCGTAATAATGATATAATGGACTTTGGGAACTCAGGGGGAAATGGGGGGGGGGCGAGAGACAAAAGACTACATATTGGGTACAGTGTACTCTGCTCGGGTGCTCTGGGTACACAAAAATCTCAGAAATCACCACTAAGAACTTATTTGTCTAACCAAAAACCACCTGTACCCCCCAAAAGCTATTGAAATAAAAAATAAATAAATGAGGAAAAAATTACCACTCATGATTTAGAAAATACCAGATATACACCATATATAAAAGTGATTCATGTATTGGCACTAGCAGTCAAGGACTTTAATTATGATTGGTAACGCCAAGAATATAGAGACAAATATAGAGAAAATAGACAAAAAATGGACAATGTAAGAGGATTGAAATCTATAAGAAAAAAGAAGTAGACATTCTAAAGCTGATTTTAAAAATATATTGATTTAACAAACCAGTGGGTGAGATTAATAGCACATTAGATATAAGAAAGATTGGTGTTACCAAAAATTAATAATTAAAAAGTGTTAAAAGACAGAAGTACAAAAATGAATAACACATAAAGTAATGTAAGCAATATGTGAAATAAAGAGAAAAGATCTAGCATACCTATAATTGGAGTTTCAGAATGAGAGGAAAAAGAGAATGAAGCAAACACAATATTTAAGATAAAATGGCCAAGAGTTTCCAAAAGCAGATGAAAGACACTGACACAAGGATTTAAGAAATTCAGCAAAACATAAGTTTAATACATAAATGTAATATGACTACAGAAAAAACAAAATTACATTTAAGATTTCTGTCTCCTCTATTTCTTCCCTCTTTCTCTATTTTCTTATGGTTTTCACCAGATTATTTTTATTTTTTATTTTAAAGTTACTCACATACTTTAATCCCACCAGACATTTTTCAATTTCAGTTTAAAGTTTGAAAGACTTTAAGGGTAAACGATCAAATGACACTCAACATCCAATCAAATAGCTATTAACTAAAGCAATTACATTTTATGCCCAGTATTCTTTCAGAACACTTAGAAAGCTAAATTAATCAATATATAATAAGTGCTAACATTTTAATTCAAAACTTTTGGAGTAATCCAAGTTTATTAAGACAGTTTTGCAGCCCAGCTACTTATGATCTACAATTTGGGGTAGGCTGCAGGGAAAAAGAAGGAGAGTGGCTAAGAAACTGCACTCCACATTTGAAGTTGATAATTATGCTTACAGTTCTGAATATCTCTGTATTAGTTCATTTTCACACTGCTATAAAGAACTACCTGAGACTGGGTAATTTATTTAAAAAAAAAAGAGAGGTTTAATTGACTCACAGTTCTGCATGGCTGGGGAGGCCTCAGGAAACTTAAAATCATAGCAGAAGGCAAAGGGGAAGCAAGACACATCTTACATGATGGCAGGTGGGGCAGGGGCACAGGTGTCACACTTTCAAAACATCAAATCACGAGAGAACTCACTCATTATCATGAGAACAGCATGGGGGAAACCACCCCCATGATCCAATCACCTCTCACCAGGTCCCTCCCTCAACACTTGGGGATTACAATTTGAGAAGAGATTTGGGTGGAGACACAAGTCCAAACCATATCAATCTCCTATGGGGACAATAGCAGAAAGCAGAGGAAAATCTCAGTGCTAAAGGAAGTGAGATTACTTCATAACACACCCTGATGATGAGAGGTTATATTGTGTCAACTTCTTAACTTATACATGTAACTGAGTGATGACACAAAGAAGTAAATGCCATTGAAAGAAAGTTTTTAATACTCACCATTTCCCCTGGTAATGAGAGGCATAGCATACCATACAGGCTACCCAAAGTCTGTCATATGCATGGGTAGGAAAGCAGACAAACAGAGGAACTGGGACTATACTTGTATGACAATCGTGGAATAAAGTAACTAGGTGGAAATGTTCCCTACTGGGAACTAAGAGGAAACAGGCAGGTCAGGGTTAGTGGTTGGGAGGATTGTAATACAACTTCTGCATGTCCATGAAAGCTAACTTGCGGTAAAGATGTAAACAATATTGGTTGTTAGTTTGGCCCTGTGATCCAGCAGGCTTATGGAGAGGTTAGGAATAATAGATGTCAAATAGTCAACACAGAATCTGAAAATATGATTAATACAGGAGGAAATGTCTCACATTCCAATGTTCATGATGCATGCTTTCTTACTTCTTCCTGATTTTGTCAGCTTCCTTGTGCATGCTATAAATAGAGAATAATGAGTTTGTCCTTAAAAGGAGAAAGGTTTCACAATATGTTCGTGGTGCTTTACTGATAAGGTCAGCCCTTTTTTTGTGTATGTATAGAACATTGTAGTTCTGGTATTAGTGACCTTCATTCATTAATTCACTTATAAAGTATTTATTAAAACCTACTATGTGTTAGACATTGTGCTAGATGCCAGCAATACAACAGGCTCATAACATCACTCCTGCTTTCAAAAAGCCTCCTATCTAGTGAGAATAGAGATAGTCATACAGGTGATTAGCTTATAGTTTGGTTAAGTGGTGAAACTTAGAAGAAGAAAAATTAACTTGTAGAGGCCTTTGTAAAAGTACTTTATGAGAATTGGTGGGGTTGGATCCACATTATTATGGGCTAAATATTTGATGGTCATATAAAAGTAAAAAACTTAAAATGCAGATAGTTTTGGCTATACTCTCAATCACACACTGTGTATTTGTTTCCACAATATTGTTTATCAGTTGTAATCTCTTCTAATAGTGGTCTTGTTCATGCTAGTTTGAAGTCTTTCAAAAAGCTTACATATAATGAGCCAACTATAACACAATATGAATCATAAAATATGTAAAGTGAAAGTGCTACAGAAACACAAAAGATAGAACTATCGTATGACTATGTCTTTTGCTTAGGACTGTAAGAAATCATCCCATATTTTTTATGAGTTTTTTGCAAGTCTCTGCACTAGGAGGTGAATTGATAGATTTTATTTCATCCTTCACTCATTTTAACCAACTCACCTGAGTTGATATGTTTTGCAGTGCCTAGACCAGCTTGCTCTGCCTAATGAGCATGATTTTAGGTGGCCCTATCTGGTTATCAGAGGGACTTTCATTTTCAGCTCCAACATGTAAACAGTTTCAAAGTTGTCACTCCCATTATTACAATAAGAAAAAGGCTGAACAAACTTGAAATCAACAAATTTTCTCAGATGCATCAGAGAATTGAAGTAACAGGGCAAACCCCAGACTCTGGAGAGATTGGAGAATACAGAGATTCATAGCCAAATACAGGCAATCACAGCCAAGATCAATTTAACAGGAACAGAACTGTTAGGCCACAAACTGGTGTGAATACTTAAATAGTAATTTTGATGAATTGCTGGAGACTAGTGTGAAAGTGACAATTCCGAGGGTTTCAGTCCTAGAGCGACTCCCATATTTTCACAGGTTTTACCTAATGGAGTCTCACTCTGTAAAGATTTTTTTTGAAATCCTCATATTTATGGCAAAGGAAAGAATAAAGTAACCATTTTGAATAAAATCCCAGGGCATTTTCCATAAGAAAGTCCTACTCTCAGAAGGAAATCTTTACCAGGTCCATATCTGAACTGGGAGAAGGCCAATTACCCCACTCCAGCTCCATTTAGCCTTCCTACCTCATCTAAAGGGTGGAAAGGAAGCTAAGAAATATTCCTGAAAGGCAACAGCCCAGGGATGGAGACACACAAAAAGACTGAGTCCCAATTGCAGTATAATAGAACACTTACCCACCCACTCACACACACACACACACACACACACCCCTTACCATCACATCAACAGGACTCCTGTATAATAACAATGAATACAACTAAAGGAACAGCAGATCCTAAATAAAGCTCAGATCCTAAATAAAAAGGAGTCTCTATGGAAACACAAAGACAACAGAGGATACAAAAACCAGGACTCTAGAGGAGTCTGACGCTCTGGCTCCTACAGTCACAGCAAATATTGAAAACAGCCTACCTTCTAGCCAGATAAACATAACTTCTTATGCCAAAGACCTATTTACCTCAGTTCTTATTACCTAATAATCATATCTGGCTTTCATAAAAAAATACAAGGCATGCTAAAAGGCAAAAAAGCACAATCTGAAGAAACAAAGCAAGCATCAGAACCAAACTCAGATATGACACAGAATTATCAGATAAGGAAGTCAAAATTACTTTGATTCTTATATTAAGATCTCTAATGGAAAACATAAAAATAGATATGCAAGAACAGATGAATAATGTAAGCAGAGAGATGGAAACTCCATGAAAAAAAAAATGGAAAGAAAATTCTAGAGATCAAAAACCCTGTAACAGAAACAGAGAATGTCTTTGATATGCTCATTAAAAGACTGGACATGGCCTAGAAATGAATTAGAGAGCTTAACCTATTTCCTATTTAGGAAAAAAAAAAGTGCAGCTTGCTGCCAGCACTCATTTAATTTTACATAAACATGATCTTTGAGGCTGGAGCAGATCTGACTGATTTTCAATGTGAAAATAATGTATAAAAACTGTTTTTGGAGTTATTTCTAAACAGAACTTGTCTCTAATCCTAATATAACAGAAATGTATATGATGGTTACAGACAATTCTTGGAGCAAATGGAAACTGGGTTAAATATATGTCTATATAAACTTGCCATACTGGATATTATAATTGCATATCCTCAATCAGCAACACTAGTTCATGGGCCCAGACAAAGAACTTAAAAGAAATGAATTGGACACAGATTTAGTGGTGAGAGAAAAGAAGAAAAAGCAAAATTGGCAATTAAGGGTATAATAAGGTTAAAAATTTGGGAAATAATATAAGATTAAATCAAGTAGGGCCGAAATGGTATTTATATGAATAATTTGTAATAAAAGTTAAATGCACTAGGTAATTATACAAAATACTACTTCACTTCTTTGGAGAAATGAGCCTAAGCTAATCTTTCTTAGATGATAATGTCAAGGCATTACACTTCAGGCCATTGAAAAATATTCTGGATATATTATCTGTTGATGGCTAGGAAACATTTTTTAATTTATTTTAATTCTGTGACACGTTGTTTCTGGCAGAGGAAGAAATAAAGTAACCATTTCGAAAAAAATCCCAGAGCATTTTCCATAATGAAGTCCTACTCTCAGAAGGAAATCTTTACCAGATCCACATCTTTCTCTCTCTCTTTCTCTCTCTTTCTCCTCCCCCTCTTTCATTCTTTCTCCCTCTCACTTCTCTTTTTTCCTTTTTGCCCTCTCTCTCCCATCTACTCCCTACCACCAAAGAAATCAGGGGTTTACCTTCTTAAGACCATACCTCATTTTCTCCTCTTGTACTTTACATTTATTGGGCTTTCAAATACTCAGAAGCCCTGTTTTCTAGTTCTTCACAGTTAACAATAAAATCTTAATTATACATACAAAGACACTAAGAAACAAAGAGATAAAAACAGCCTCTTTAAGATTACACAACTGTAAATAGAAAAGCTAGGACTCAAACCTAGGAGTCTTCATATAAAATTCATGTAATTTTTATCTTACTATGTTGCATTTCATATCTGCAGGGTTCCTCCTGCCACTTTATCATCCTCAGTATCATATACTAAATGTAGATTTCAATATGCATGACTAGTAGAAATGAATTTTTAGTTTTATGTTATGAAACTCCAATCAACCTGGATAGCATAGCTACCAAAGTCAAGCATTTCTTGCTATTTTGAAAAAGTTCATTTAAACTTTACTAAATACTGAGTTTAACCCAAAATCCTTCCTGTACACTAAGACAGCCTAGATGACTCCTCCTCAGTATAAAGGACTGGGCATGTTTAACATTGCTAGGACAATGCTATTTAGAGTTTAGGAGAAGCTAGCAGGACACTTTGACCTGGTGCCGTCCACCTTCCAAACACACTCAACTATTTCATATAGACAGAAATATAGTTTTAACCCCTGAACTAGTGGCGACATCTTTTCTCTCCTGAGGCTGAATTATGGATCCCTCACATCTTATTTGAAACACATTTTTACCACCCTTTGTTCTGCTCAACTCCTCACTTTCTCTGTTAAACTATTTATTTCAGTTAAGTATATCACAATTTATAGGCTATATTTTTCAGTTCATCTTGACCCAGGGTCCTGGAGAGTTTCCCTTATTCATTATTATTTTATAAAACACTCACTATATTCTATACCATGGGCTCAGTGCCGTGTAGAAAATACAAACAAAGCTCAGCTCTTGCCCAGAGAGGTCAAAATCTGCTAGAGAAAGTGGGCATATGCATAGATAATGCTAGTACTGGAATATAAATTTCCCAAGAGAAACAGAAGAAGAACTCAAGAGTTTTTCCCCAAACGTTCTTATTTCCTTCACTTTAATATTTACTACCCTTGATGGTACCAAGCTTAATTTTACATGCAAACATGTTTGGCTATTTCAGCATCAGAAATTATTTAGTAAAAAATAACCATAAATAAAAACCAAGTGACATTTTCAGTATTTCACTTCTTAACCAGAATAATCTTCATCCACATAAGGATGTTACAGAGGGAAAGATATCATATAAACATCACATTTAAGCTTCAGAAATGGTTTCAATTAAAGAAATGCTATTATCTCCTAAGCCCAGCCATTTAAATTCTATCAGAGAGTCTTGGCATTGTTTTGCTTAATAAACACAGTTTCTAAAATAGTGCAAATTAATTGAGTGTATTTAGTTTATACATATGTTGCTGCAATAGAGCTTCACAGTAATAAGTATAATTAACAAGAAAATAGCAGCAAGGCATAGAGAACCCTATAATTTCCAACCACTTGTTATTAGTACCCATAAGAAATACCTCAAAGTTCATTATCTCAAATTTTCATGAAACTAAGTGAGTATAATTAAGAGCTCAACAGCTCCTCCATTTGTTTGTTAAACAGGGTCTCATGAGCCTCACTGAAAGAGGTATGATTTAAGAATGTTTTATTGGAAAAAATATCAGGCTGAGCAGATTTTTATAACCAAAGTGTTCAGAAAACATACATACCATGTGCAAAAGATAAATAAAAAACTAAAAAGACAATGGTGTTTTGCTAATTTTAACTTCATTAACTATTAACTGCTACTAATATCTAAGATGTTCCTCCCTTTGAAAAATATGAGTATTTTCAAAAGAGGTCTGGACTCAGCAAAATTTGTGCATTGCATATTATTTGAGTTAACACACAATGTTTATAAAACTGTTTGGAAAATTAACAAAATAAAAATTCAAGGCTGAAATTCAGCTATAAGACAATGGCTTTATTGGAGATTCATGACTAATACTTTGAAATGTATATGGTCTTTCCTCATAACTCATCTTAGGTTTCAAATGTGTTGTGTTTCTGAGGGTTGCTCCTGGACTATTCCCATATTCAGTAGATGCCATTGCCTCCATATTGTGATTGCTGTTAAGCTAAAGACAAAACAGTCAAGGAAGGGACAGACCGGCAAGCAAAATATTCAGGAAAGTGCATGACTGGAAATCATGGATGAGAAGCAAAGAGGTAAAAATAACCTTTAATTATAAGTATATATACACACACAAACAAACATACATGCAACTGGTAAAATGAAAAACCAAGGCTCAAAGCCATAAACCTGAATCCAAAATTCATATGACAGTCTCCTCAAGGATGGCTCCCAAAGATCTTTGCCATTTAGGATTTGTAATCTTGTTTCCTCCCTGCTCATATTGTGGCAAAGTTGGTCTTTGTGATCAATAGAATGTGGCAGAAATGACGGTATATCATTTCTGATAATAAGTGTTAAAAAAAAAAACACGGTCCCATCTTGGTTGCTCTCTCTCTCTCTCTCTCTCTCTCTCTCTCTCTCTCTCTCTCTCTCTCTCTCTCGGATTATTTACACTGAGAGAAGCCAACTGTCCTGTCATGAACAGCGCAGTAGAGAAGCCCATGTTGTAAGGAACCACGGTCTTTAGCCAACAACAGCATAAATGATCTTAAAAACAAAGCAGATCCTCCCAGTCCAGTCAAGCCTTCAGATGACTTCAGCCCTGATCAGCAGCTTGACTGGAACCTCATCAGAAACCCTGAGCCAAAACTATGCAGTAGCCACTCCTGGATTTCTGACCTGCAGAAACTATGAGATAATAAATATCTATCACTTTAAACTTCTAAGTTAAGGGAAAATTTGTTATGCAGCAATATATAACAAGATAACCATGGGCCAAATTTTAATAAAAAGGTCTAATAAATGTGCTGGGTGATGTTCATATTATATACTAATATTAGAAAAACAAGAGTTTTACAGACAGAGCTAAGACTGGTCTCCAGGGTACTGAGCCACATGGGAAAACATGGGCAAGAACCAGTATTTGCAGCCTTAAATTCAAGCTGGGAAAGTGAATTTGTTAAATGGATTCTGATTATAAGAAAATAGATCTAAGTTTTATGTTCATAGGAGATGAGGAATCAGGCATGGAGAGGTGTAGACTAATCCTTTTGGAATAGCATGATCTTGCCCTGCGTAGAAATCCAAGCTTATCTCATGCCAGGTCTCTCTCAGTTCATCCTGTTATAGTCACATTGGGTTTCTATTGTTTTTTAAGAAAGGCCAAGCCCATTCCTGTCTCAGGACATTTGAAAGACTCTACAACCAGCTCTTAGCATAACAATCCCTTTTCCCAACCACATTCTGTGAGTACATCCACATGCTAGTATTCCTCTTCCAAAATTTATCACAATTGTTTGTATATTTATTTACTTGCTTCTTAACTGTTATTAAAAATTAATGAGGGCAGATATATTTTCCCTTCTGTTCACTTCTATATTCACTAAGCCTTACATATTTCCTGACATGTTGAAACTACTAGGAAAGTAACTGTGGAATCTTATAACAGGTGATTCCTTACAACCAAAGGTATAATAATTGCTAATCTCAAAAATGGGGGGTATTCGCCTTTGGCCTGCACTATAATACTTTATGGGAGCAAATGACGTTAGCAGGTAATGTGTTTCCCAAATTCTCCTGTGCTGAGGATTTCAAGGGAGTACTGTTTTCTCTAAGGTAAGGTAGTGGTTCTCAAATGGTAGTGTGTATCAGAATCACCTGAGGGGCTTGTTAAAACACAGATGACTAAACACCATCCCAGAGTTTATGATTCACTTGGTCTGGCATGGAGTTCCATGAATTTCTATTGCTAACAATTTTCCCAGTGATGCTAATGCTGCTGGTGCAGTGATCACACTTGGAGAACCACTGATCCAAGGAACATTCACCATACCCAGTAATATTTACATATGTTCTTTATTTCACCATACCCAGTAATATTTACATATGTTCTTTATTACTCCCATACTTGTTAAAATGGAGATAAGCAAATAGTAACACCATTTACACAGCCACAACTTATGCTTTCTTCCTGCTAAACCTGGAAAAATTAATGGATCTCTGAAAAAGGAAGATGTGGAAAAAATGTAACTTTAAGCCAGGAAAAAAATGTTCACAGGCTATCTCATCTCTCAGTAAAATAAATAAAACTCATATTCCAAGAAAGTAGCTTACATAGAATTGATATCATGCCTCTTGGAAATGCCAACAAAAGACATCTGTGAGTCATTACGTGACCAAATTTTGTGTGGGATTCGGAATTTGGGTAGACATATGTTACAGAAAATTCTACACATTTCTTTAAAACCTATATTTCTATGTCTTCTGTTCTAATCGTTATGGAGATTTTATTATTATTAAAATTTAGACATTATTCATCTTTAAGTCCTTGGTCCTTAACACATTTTTTTGTTTATTTAGTGGATTACTTGTTTTATATTTTAATTGATAAAATTGTACATTTTATAGGGTATAAAATTAAAACAAAATTATAAATTTACAGTTATACTAAGACAGGAACATTGGGCACAGTAGAAGTGTGAGTAGGACCTATATTATATCAGTAATAAGCATAGTCTTAGACATGAACCACTAAGGATAATAGGGATAGTAATAATGATAATCTTATACATGAATCATTCTGTAAATGCCCATTGTTGTTATTTCTGGGGTCTCTAAGGAGAGCCAATAAATAGCATACATTTTCCCTTTCCAAATTCTGAAAAAAAGAAAAAAGGGAATCTGGTGGAGGCCAAAATCACTGTAATAAATAATAAAAACAAAATTAGAGTGGAGAGCTTAATGTGAGCAAAAAAAAAAAAAAAAAAAAAAGCCCTTCACACAAAAAGAACCTGCTCAGGTTAAGATTTACTGGACAGATGATTAATGGATACTCACTCCTGGTTTAACCTTATCACAAACTTACCAAAGATAAGCCACCCTTTTACACTGGAGTAGAGTAAGTAAAAAGATGGGAAGAAAAACAATGTTGCACCAGTTCAGTCCCTTCAGCAGGAAACATGAGAAGAGAGACGTGTCCCCACCACTGATACGGCTACTAGTACTGTACTTTTGAAAGTAATTCATCTCTTTATTTGAAGAGACATTTCTGTGTTTAAAGGTTAAAAAAATCTAGCCTCAATAGTTGATACCAAGATATTTGTTTCCCAAAAACTTCTTAGCATGCATTCAAGGTTCTTCATGATCTCATCCCCATTTACGTCCCTAATACCATGGCTCATCCTTGCTGTGTTCCTTCCTCAGGACCCAATGTCTCCTCCCATTCCAGGTCTCCTCACCAAGGAACTATAGAAAAGCTTGATTGACCTTCCCCCGGCTGAAGTATCTGCATGAGCCTCACACTGCACAGTCCTACATTTCTTTAAAATAATACATGTCCTCATGCCAGCTCCGATCTTGTGAGACTCAACCTCTATAGCAAGGTCCAGAAACCAGAAGTAGAACAGGTCTATCAACTGTGGCTCTGCCACATTGTCCCACCACTCGAAGAGCTTACAATTTATTTAAAATATAAATCATGAAAAGTTGGCTAACAGTACTAGACTGTAACACCAATGCTTCTCTACTATTAATATTATACTGTGTAATGAAACATACTAATCTTATCAACATAAGGTCTGTTCCATGACATTAGCCCATTCTCCTATTTTAGAGTTTCCCACTTCTTATATCTTGTATATTGCAAATTATTTTATGGGTTCTGCTTCATAATATTGTTATAATTGTTTTCTGTAATTTCAACATAGTCTAGAACAAGATGAAAATTCATATTTTCATCAAGCTCACATGGAATATTCTCCAAGATATATTATCTTCTGGACAATAAAACAAACTTTAACAAAGATAAAAGAATTGAAATCAAAATCAAAAAGGTATGTTCAGTGACCATATTGAAACTAAACAAGAAAACAATACAGAAAGATATCAGAAACATTCTAAAATACTTGGAAATTTAAATAGAAAACAACTTCTAAATAACCTATGAGTCAAAGATAAAGTGTCTGGGAAAATAAGAAAGTATTTTAACTGTAAAATAAAATAAAAATAAAAATAACATATCAAAATGTGTGAGAAGGAGATAGAGAAGTACTTAGAAATTTATAACATTAAAGATTCTAAACATTTAATAATTATAACATTAAATGTTTAGAACATTATAAATGTATCAAACAATCTAAAATTCCACATTAACAAACTAGAAAAAGAAGAACAACTTAAACCCAAGCAGCCAGAGCAATGATACTACTAGCAGTAGAAATAATAATCATAATAAATATTAGAGGGAAAATCAATGAAATAAAAAACAGAAAACAGAGATCTGGTTCTTTGAAAAGACTAATAAAATTAAAAAGCTTCTAGCCAGAGTAACCAAAAAAAATAAAAATAAAAAGACACAAATTACCATTATCAGGAACAAAAAAGAGACTATTGCTACATACCACATGGACATTAAAGGAATAATAAGGAATAAAAACTGTGAACAACACAATGCTGATAAATTCAGCAACTTAAAAGGAATGTACCCATTCCTTAAAAATTGCAAACTACCAAAATACATTTATGAAGAAATGGGTAACCTGAATTTTTCTATATCTATGAAATGAAATAAAATTGAATTAGTAATAAGGAAGTTTCCACAGGAAAATTTCAGGCCCAGACAGTTTTTAAAGGTAAGAAGGAAATAACACTAACACTACATAATATATTCCAGAAAACAGGAGAGGGAACACTAGCCAACTCATTGGTTCAAGATTGCCCTGATACCAATATAAGACAAAGACATCATTAGGAAATAAAACTACAGACCAATATTGCTCATGAACATGTATGCAAAAAACCTCAACAGATATAGAGTTGAATTCAGCAATAGAGAGAGGTTAAAATACTGTTGCAGGAAACGAGAGACCAGATGGGTGGAAAAGGAGGATTTTATTTAGGTGGCCACTGGCTCAGCAGATTAATATCCAGAGGCTGAGCAATTAACGAAGAGAGGGCTTGACTTTTATTCATGCAACTGAAGGGGGGTGGCTTGCCACTGGCACGAAACTTGTAGGGTGGGGAAAGCAAGCTTACAGAAGCAGAACAAAGGCAGTTAATCAAACTGTGAAGGGTTCCTAACTCAGGCTTACGTATGACTCTTGCTATGCAGGCCAGGTGGCTGCTATCTAGGTTTGCTCAAGATGCCTACACAGCCTTATCTTGTGTCCTTCACTAGGTGCCCAGATGGCTGCAATCTAAGCTTGCTCAAGCATGTCTCATGACCTCCGCTGTGCTACTCAGATAAAAAACAGACTTACAGACACTAGTTACAGAAAACAGGAAACCATAAACTCATAAAAACTTGCAGAGCAGGGTACAATCTCACGGAGGGGGTTGGGATTCGAGGGGGAAGCTGCTTATACCAAAGGAAAGAGGGAAAATTTGTTTTTCCTCCCATATCTCCTGCTTCAATATCACAACCAAATAGGATATATCCTAGGAATACGAACCTAGTTCAACATTTGTAAATCAAATATGTAATTAACAAACTAACAAAGAAAAACCAATCATCAAAAAACAGACAAAGCATTTTACAAAAGTCAACATAATATTCTGGTTTCTCTTCAGATCGTATAAATCTTTTGCCTTTTACAGAAGTCAAAATTCATGAGAAAAAGTCTTAGCAGCTGGGGATAGAAGGCAACTTCCTTAACCTGATAAAGGAAATCTAAAATTAACTGCAAATATTATATTTAATGCTGTAAGACTAAATGTTTTCTTTCTAAGACTGGAAATAAAGCAAGGATATCTACCCTCAACCCTTCTAGTCATCATCATACTGGAAGTCCTCATCAGCACATTAAGGTAAGAAAAAGAAATAAAATCATGTATATTAAAGAGGAAACAATAAGCATCTTTTTTACATAAGAAATGATTGTCCAGGTCAAAAATTCAAAAGAAATTTTTTAAACTTCAAAAGTGAATGAGTATGTTTATCAATATCATAGGCTATAAGATCAGTATCCTAAAGTATCTAAGCTAAAAATCATAAACACAGAAAAAAGAATCAAAGATCTAAGTAAATGAAAATATATATAATTATCATTGATTAGAAATCTCAATATTGTTGAGATGTCAAATGTTCCCAAACTGATCTGTAGATTCAATACAATCTCAACCAATATCCTAGTAGATTTCTCTGTAGATATATACAAGGTGATTATAAAATATATGGACAATTAAAGAAACTAAAATACAAAAACAATTCTGAAAAAGAAGAGTACCGTAGGAAGACTACAACTACCTGATTTCAACACATACTAAAAAATTTCAGAAATCAAGACAAGGTGGCATTTGTGAAAAGAGAGACAGATAGATCAATGGAACTGAAGAGGTCCAGAAACTGACTACCTTTTAAAAAGTTACAAAAGTAATTCAGTAAAGAGAGAATAACCTATCATTCAACAAATGGTGCTGAAACAATTTGACACTCATAAGCAAGAAAAGAAAAAGAAAAATATCTTAACGTATACCTCACACTGTATATACAAAAATTAGCTCAAAATGGATCACAGGCATAAATCTACAAGTTTCATAGAAATATAAAACTTTTAGGCAAAGAATGTAGAGAAAATCTTTGTGGCCAAAGTATTTTTAAGTACAACATCAAAATACAATCCATGAAAGAAAAAAAATATATGCATTGACTATCATAAAAAATTAAAACATCTTATGCTGTGAACAACTCTGTTAAGAGCAGAGAAAAACATGCCATAGGTTAGTAGGAAAATACATTTATGTCCAATACCTGACAAAGCACTTGTATCCAGAATATGTAAAGAGCTCTCAAAACTCAATAATAAGAAAACAATACATATTTTTTAAATGGGCAAAATATTAAAAAGCCACTTCAGAAAGGAAGATATGTGAAAGTCAAAAAATAAATACAAAGATGATCAATGTCATTAGTCATGAGAAAAATAAAAATGAAAATCACAAGATATCACTATACACACATTAGAATGCCTAAAATTAACAGCTAAAACATTATGATACCAAATTTTTGTGCAGATAAAGTGTGGTAAACTCTCAGACATTGCTGGTATGAATGCAAAATGAAACATCCACTTTGTAAAGCAGTTTGGACATTTCTTTTGAGGTTAGACAAGAAAGTTCAGAATTTAGTGTCTAATTAAATGGTGAAAGAAAAAAAGGAAAAGTAAGAAAGTAAAGACTCAAAGACATTTCAGTCACAAGTTGCTATTAAGATATAACAATAATACAGGAGTTTTTAAAACATTACTTTTAGGCAGCTAGAAAGAGTAAAAGAGTTCTGGGTGGAATTTTCCTTTAATAAAAAGCAGCCCCAAATCATTTCTTCTCTAACAGAAAGCAGCCTGGAGAGTCAGGCATAAATATGCAAACTAGAAGCTTTTATATGTAAATGTCAGCAGCTGTACCTGGAAGCTAGGTATATTCAAAATGGTGTTTTCCACTCTCTTTTCCTTGTCACCACATGTGCTAGTATTATGGCACCCACCAAGTAAAACCACGTGTTCAGGCATCATGGTGACTGCCAGGTAGAGGTCGAATTTGCATAATAATAACAAAGACTAGTGTGGGAAGGCCAGTCTTTACACAGGATATGTAAATGGTACACCTGGTCAAACCAATCCCCTGGGCCCTATGTAAATTAATCACCACCTCCTCAAGCATCTGTACAAAATCGATTGCCTTCCACCCAAACCAGAGACCTTCTCTTGGGAGACCCACTTCTCAGCCTGAGGAAGCCCTTTCTCTCTCTCTTCTTTTTTGTCTATTAAACTTTCTGCTCCTAATTCCATTCCTCATGTGTGCCCATGTCCTGAATTATTTCTCAACAGAGACAAAGAACCAGGGTGTATACCCCAGACAATGAGCCATTTTAGCAAGATGTAATAGGAGAAACATGAACTCAAGTCCTGCAGACTCCCTCTTCCTTTAGGTGTCCTTGGCCACACTGTGCCTATGTTTTTATGTCTACAAAGTAGAACTAATACTACAAGCCCCAAGAATGTAGTAGGTTTCAAATAAGTTAATAAATTTTAAATACTTTCAGAGGATTTTATAATCAAATATAGACTTATACTGCATATATGATTATATTGAAAAAGTTGAAACTCTCTCTAAGGAGAGTCAGTCTGTGCCACTAAAATAGGAAAGTGATTTATTTTAAAATGTACTGGACACAAAATGGGTACAGATTTTGTTTTCTTCAGAAATATTACTTCATATCCATATCCAACGTTGTATGTTATCAACAACACCATTGGAGTAGTATAGAGGGATTCTTTGTCATGACATGTAATTACTTAATTCTATTCAATTTCATATTGTTTTTCTACCTGCCAACTTTTCTCTTTTGACTTAGTGTACATGTGTGCATGTGAATGTCTGTGTGTTCATGTGTGTGTGTTTATATTTTAATGCATCTTCAGTCATGGTACTGCTACTGGAAAAAAATAAGCAGCTGAATTTTCTGTATACTATGACACTATGAAACTAAATATTCTTATATCTTCAATCTACCTATTGTGAAAATAAAACAAATTTTCTATATTTAGACTGCAAAGTAAAATATAGTGGAAGAAATATAGTGCATAAAGTGGACGAAAAGAAATAAATGTAGTATATATAGATCATGTCAGTGGCAAAGATGAAGGAACAGGAACACGGGATAGTTGATAAGTCAAGAGAAGAAAGACGTTTAGTCAAACAACAGAGCTTGTGAAAAAAATTATATCAAATTAACAGACAGAAAACTTTATTACATCTATTACACCTTTCTAACAATGTCTACGAATAACTAATGTAATATTTTTAAAGACTTTAAAATGCTGCATCAATTAGAAAATGTAAAAATAGATTGGACAAATAATCAGAGATGAATCATGAAGACGAATCTTTCCTTCAACCTCCAGATCTTATCCCCTTTGAAGATAACTTTATGGTGTGAAAACTGGGGCTCACAAATCACTAAGCTAAAGGGAAAAGTCAATGTGGGAACTACTGGGGCAAACCTGCCTCCCTTTCTATTCAAAGCCACCCTCTGCTCACTGAGTTAAATCCATATCTGATTGCATCCTTTGGAGAGGCTAACAGAAACTCAAAGGAATGCAACCATTTGTCTCTTCTCTACCCATGACCTGGAAGGCCATCCCCACTTCGAGTCTTCCTGCCTTGCTTTGAGTTGTCCCGCCTTTCCAGACTAAACCAATGTTCATCTTGCATATGTTGATTGTCTCATGTATGCCTAGCATATGTTGTTTGATGTCTCATGTCTCCCTAAAATGTAAAACCAAACTGTGCTCTGATCACCTTCGGCACATGTCGTCAGGACCTCCTGAAGTTGTGTCATGGGCATGTGTCCTCAGCCTTGGCAAAATAAACTTCCTAAATTAACTGAGACCTGTCTCAGATTTTCAGGGTTCACAAATGGTAACTGCTTTTCAGTTAGAAAACTTAAGCTGCAAGCTTTCTTCATCAGTGGTTCAGTTAACGTATGTTCTTTATCCTAAGTTTATTTTAAATGCAAAATTTCCTCCCCAAATGCTTTCTTTGTAATTTTATCTTAGCTAAAACAGTGTCCTCTTAGATGAAATTAATATTTTGTTTCTCATTTCACCGTAAGAAATAGCTATTTCTCATAATTAAGTCAGTTTCTTGATTTCAAGATTACTCTCATTTATCTAATCCTAAATTAGTTTAAAATTAATCACTACAAATAAAATGAAATTTAATTAAAAACCAATTTAACCACTTCTTGAAGAGCTAACTATTCATTAAAATCTCCAAACTAGATTTCACACTATAATACAATAAAATTTTTGGTCAGTGACACTCAAGTGATATTATACTTCAGTGTATCCAAAAAATAAAAATTAAAAATTGGGCAGCAATGCACCTGCTTAATAATAAATATCATCGCTTCAAGGTATTTAATCTCTAAGTAAACAAGAGTGCAAATTATTTTAACTGATGAACATTTAAGTCCATGACCGATTGTAATATCCCATTCAAGTCCCTCTTTTATTTTTTTAGAAATGCTACGTATATTTTCACTATTAGGCAAGGTGATATAGTTTGGCTGTGTCCCACCCAAATCTCACCTTGAACCGTAATAATCCCTATGTGTCAAGGGTGGGGCCAGGTGGAGATAGTTGAACTATGGGAGTTGTTTCCCCCATTCTGTTCTTGTGGTAGTGAATAAGTGTCATGAGATCCGATGGTTTTACAAATGGGAGTTCCCCTGCACAAGCTCTCTTGCCTGGTGCCATGTAAAACAAGCCTCATTCGCCTTCTGCCATGATTGTGAGACATCCTTAGCCATGTGGAACTGTGAGTCCATTAAACCTCTTTTTCATTATAAATTACCCAGTCTCAGGTATGTCTTTATTCACAGCATGAGAGCAGACAAACACACAAGGTATTGGATATAAATAAGTTTTACCCTAAAGGAGTTTATAATCTGTTTGGGAGACATGACCTACAGATGAAAATTCAGAAAGCAAGAGCAAAATTAAAATTAAAGAAATAGGAAAGGCAGTATTGTAAAATAAGTGGTGGAGAAAGAGTAAAAAGCTAAAAAGGGTAGAAGAGTTCTAGGTGGAATTTTCCTTTAATAAAAAGCAGCCCCAAACTATTTCTTCTCTAACAGAAAGCAGCCTGAAGAGTCAGGCATAAATATGCAAACTAGAAGCTTTTATATGTAAATGCTGGCAGCTGTACCTGAAAGCCAAGTACATTCAATATGGCGTTTCCCACTCTCTTCTCCTTTTCACCACGTGTGCCCGTGTCATGGCGGCCTCCAGGTAATACCACACTGTGCATGCATCCTGGCAGAGCTCCAGGCAGTGGCACATTTGCATAATAAAAGACTAAGATGGGAAGGCCAGGCTTTTCCCAGGCTATGTAAATGGCATACCTGGTCAAACCAATCCCCCCACCCGGCCCTAGTAAATCAATCACCACCTCCTCAAGCCTCTGTACAAAATCGACTGCATTCCATCCCAAACACACACATTTGAGTTCAAAGAAGAGATCCAACTGAGCTGGAGTGTCACAGGGACACCTGTGTTATGCCAGCATTTGTGCTATATGCTGGGAACACAAAAGAATGAGACATATCCTTATCTGCTAGGTGCTTGAAGTCTAGTTAATGAACTAGAAAATGTGACCAATAAACCATATGAGCTGAATCTAAAAGTATACGTGTAATTTAAATATGTATACAAAAGAGAGAGGCACCTGGCAAACATAAAGAATGGGGAAGGAGAGTAGTGTTTTTGAACAACTGTGGGCTCAGCACTTGACATATCTCACTTTCATCTCCACAATACTGCAAAGTCATTACTACTATTATCCCCTTTGTCTAATGAGAAGACAAGTTAAAACAAGTGAAAGAACTTGCCACAAATTATTCAGCTTATAAAGTGGCAGAGGTAAGATCATAATTTGAGCCTATCTGGCTACAAATCCCCTCTCACAGGTATAAATATTAAGAAGGGAGTCCTTCTCCACACGTTTTATGTGAGCAGAAAGTTTGTAGTCACCTCTCTTGGGTACAGGTCTGTGATTATAAAATCCCAAATCTCCTATATTACTTGTGTATTCATTTCTTTTAATTATTGTATAACAAATTACCATAAATTTAACATTTTAAAATACATTACTTGTTTATTTTATATACATTTTATTTATTTATATATTTTTTGAGATGGAGTCTTACATTGCTGGAGTGCAGTGGTGCGATATCAGCTCACTGCAACCTCCGCCTCCTGGATTCAAGTGATTCTCTTGCCTCGGCCTCCCAGGTACCTGGGATTATAGGCGGATGCCACAAGGGCCAGCTAATTTTTTAATATTTTTGTAGAGACAGGGTTTCACCACATTGCCCAGGCTGGTCTTGAACTCCTGACCTCAAGTGATCCTCTTGCCTCAGCCTCCCAAAGTGCTGGGATTACAGGCATGAGCCACTGTGCCTGGCCCAACACTTTAAAATACTCCATTTATGTGAGTCAGGAGTCTGGGAACATAACTGGGTTCTTTGTTGAGAGTCTCACTGGCTGCAATCAATGTGTCAACCAGGCTACAATCTCATTTGAAATTAAGGGTACTCTTCCAAGTTCGTGTGGTTGTTGGCAGAATTTAATTTCTTGCAATTGTAGCACTGAGGCCCTCAGCTCCTAGAAGCTGCCTTTGGTTCCCTGCCACCTGGCATTCTCCATGGCAGTTCACATCTTAGCTGCTTGTTTCTTCAAGGTCAGCAGGAGAGTTTGTCACTCAGGGAAGGCCCAGTCATCTTGTCAAGGGTTTTCACCTGATCTCTCCGGATAACCTCCCTTTTGATACTTCTAAACCACTGGTTTGGGGACCTTAACTATATATGCAAAATTTCTTTACCTTTGCAATATAACATAACCTAATCAAGTGGCTGACATGTCATCTCATTTGCCCTATTCTACTGATTAGCTGAAAGTCAAGGGCCTTGTTCACATTTAGGAGAAGGGGGTTAAACAACATTATAAATACTAAAAGGCAAGGATAATGGGAGCTCACCTTAGGGTCTGTCTGCCACACCTTCCTTCACAACTTTGTGCATGCTATCCTTCAGTGTTTCTCTGCAGAGTAAATACAGGAAGAAGAGCAATAAAGGATCATTCTGGATGTATAACTCCTGCTTGTCAACCTTTCACTAGGAAGTAGGTATGAGAGAAGGAAATAGGAAGCATTTACCAAGGGCAGATATCAGGTAACAACTATGTTTTAAGTCCTATACTTGAAACTTGGGCACTGAGCAGATCCCAGACATCATCTCATGAAGCTCTTACCACACAAGTACTGTAGCATATTAATTGAGCATCATTCGAAGCACCAGAGATTAGAATGCCACTAGACATAATGCTATGTGGATTCAAAAGCAGTAATGGTGAAAACAGTTTGAACTCCCTACGTCTACTAGAAGAGATAGCAAACGAGTAGCTGTTCTTTAGAAAACTAGTTTTATTATTAATGTTTTATGGGTTTTCCAGTGAAGACCAGAGAACTTGCTAGACAAATTCTAAAAGAGCTGTAACACTGGATAACTTGTTTTGATGGAGGCATGTGGGAGAGAACGATTGATTGATTTGGAAAGAAAATTCACATACTGGATGATCAAGTCATATGAAGCTTATATGTTTTAAATGATGTTTGAGTCTCTAGTGTGACTAATGAGGAGCCCTAGAGGATATTTTCCACCATTCACTGGCTCAGTGCATGTCTGTCACCACAGCTTAAGTGAATCCAAACAAACCGATGAGCCACTATATCATAATCATGGAAGCCCATTTCATGGCAACTCACAGACTTCATTCTAAAACGTGCAGCAAGATCCATCCAAGATTAAGGCTGGCTACATCCCAAGGCTGGCTACATCCAAAGATCAAGCAAAATTGAGTCAACAATGATTATGTGACATGTTTAACACAGGCCTGATCATCATTACTTTATACCCAAGACACTCAGTTTGCTCTATATTCATATCATTTATTTGCTCTGATAAATATCTCTAATACAGACAGCAGAGTGGTTGTTGACTTTCACTTTCAACATCTAAGAGTAAGTTCACCCTCCGAGGATAGGTCTGGTTGGCTTTCATCAGGATCAGATGTATTACTTAGGAAGCCACACATACCAAGGAATTCCAAGTACTCCACAAAGAGAATGCAAGCGGGAGGAATTAGTGCAATAACTAAACTACCTACTGAACTGGAGCACACCCAGAAACTTCAATTTCTCTCTCTAGTTACATATCTACTGTTGTAATAATGTTTTACACCAAAGAAAGCTTAATCTCTAACCCAGATGTTTTTACGCCACAAACATTAATTTTCAAATGTGCAGAGAATATTAGACTCAAATACCCTACAGGCTTTGTTAAACCTAATTTAAAACCCTAAAATTACAACTTATTCAGAACTTACCCCTTCAAGCCTTCCAGATATACCTAATACCCTGTCCAGTGGAATCCGCTTACTGAAGAATTAATAGGCTTATGAGACTTTGAAATAAAGTTTGCCATAGGGAGTCACACTGCTGACTTAGTTATTATGAAAAAAATGCTGTCTTTATATATTTCACTATTCCTCAAATACTCTTCTTGTAAATCACACTGAGCATCACTGGGTTTTATTAGGGAATGAGGATGTATTGCTAACCTCCAGGCATCATAGAAAATAACCACCTTTTCCCACCTAAATTCCTTCAATAAATCAACACAAAATTTTAAAATCTGAAAGCCATGCATTTTGTATTATGCCACAATCTTAGGCCAATTTTTTCGTGTGAGTTTTCTCTCAAAATCCTCTCTGGTACCTGAAGTTTTGTTATCATAGACTCATAAAGCTTTTATCATGGTTAAAATGCAAATCTTTCCAGAAGAAACCACCTTGTTCTAATACTTCATTTTCTCAATGTTTTGTAGGAACAGAGACACGTTTCTGAAGGTAGGTGACAGGAGACAGCAGAAGGATAAAGGGTACAGAATGAGAAGACGATTTATACCAGAGTTGTCACTTAAGTATATTTAGAGGTGGACTTTACAAATCCAAAGAAATTCATATTCATCATAATCATTGATACTTAAATTACAGTAAATGTATCATTGAGTTCATATTGTTTGAAATTAGCACTGAGGATGAACTAGAATCTAATGCAAATATACCCATGTATCAAGTGAATACCTAAAATCAAGTCAATTTGACTTCTCTTTATCTCAAATGTTTAAAAAAATCTGAGAAAAAAATATTCCAGAGAGATAAATTGAAATATTAGAGATAGAGTTGCTGATTCATTAATTCACCAAGGTAATGTAACTAGGGGTTCACTAGAGCCATTCCTTGGAACATATGCACATCATATCAAAACCACAAATCAATTTTATTTTTTAAAAATCCATCAAAACTGCCATTTGTAGCAAGTGTTTTGAGCTAGAGGTATAAAAAAGTACTCCACATAGAGAATATTTATAATACTATATAAAATATTAAAACAATCTACCTTTTTGTCATGGATGAGTTTATTTAAAAATAGGGAATAACCTCAGAGGTAAGAGCAAAGAAAAATTGATTCCAGAGAACTATGCAGCACATTAAAGCAGGCATTTTCCCTAGGTTGGCATTTCAGAAGCCCCTGAATACAGGAGATAAATAAAATCTAGAGACAAGCAAGATGGAAGATCAAAGTGAGCACCTCCACACAAAAGAAGGCTCCCTAAAGGGAAGGGCAATACCTTCAAAAGGTCTATTAGTTAAAAAAATGTTCCATAGGCCGCGCACAGTGGCTCACACCTGCAATCCCAGCACTTTGGGAGGCCGAGGTGGGAGGATCATGAGGTCAGGAGATTGAGACCATCCTGGCTAACTTGGTGAAACCCCGTCTGTATTAAAAATACAAAAAATTTGCCAGGCGTGGTGGCACGCGCCTGTAGTCCCAGCTACTCGGGAGGCTGAGGCAGGAGAATGGTGTGAACCTGGGAGGCAGAACTTGCAGTGAGCCTAGATCGCGCCACTGCACTCCAGCCTGGGGTGACAGAGTGAGACTCCATCTCAAAAAAAAAAAAAAAAAAAAAAAAAAAAAGTTCCATAGAAGAAGATAAATATGGTTGCCTGTCTCGAACTTCGCTCTAAGCAGAGCTAGAAATATAAGAAGTTCTGCTGGCTAGTCCTAATTCTGGGTCAAAGGAGGAAGCACTCTACAAACTATCTCCTCCATGGAACATAGCTGGGGCCCAAGGCAGCCCAAAACATGGAAGTGGCAACAGAGAGAGTTCTAGAAACCCTCAAGTTCTCTCCTGAAGACTCGGAAAGGTTTCCTGACACTCAGAGAACGTGGAGGGAAATTTCCCCATTTGTCTCTATTTTTTTTTTCTTTTCTCTCATGCCCTAGCCTTCAGGTGATCTCACAGTAGTGGTATAAACGAGGAATATTGGCACCAGCAAGGTCCAAAAGGTACCTAAAATTTGAGGCAAGGGAAACTTTGTTTCCAATAGAGAAGTGGTGGTCTAAAGAGGATAGGTGCTTATTTTCTTTCTCAGTCTTCCTGTCACTTGACCCCAGACATGAGCACAGTTGCAGAAAATGAGCTGCAGAGAAGAATTCCTAAAACTTGAGCTTCAGGCCAGAGGACCAAAATTAGGAGTACCAGAAAATCCTTTAGGACACTAAGAAATGAAGGGAACTTTCTTAACCCGAGAAAGGGAATCTATTTTTAAAAAGAAAAGGTAATTACACTAAAATCACAAAAAATCATGGAGTGTTGAAAGTATCATATTTTAAATTTAAAAAGCTAGGTATGCCACCATCATCACTTGTCTTTCTTAAGATTAATAGCAGGTACATTGGTATTTGCCTTATTATTGTAACTATTATTATTGCTACTTAGTCTGTACATTGGTTGTGGAGACTTTTATGCTTAATATAAATTTTTTTCCAAAAGAGTGACAAGTATTATAAAGCAAACAAACAAAAATGTGTATTCATTACTGTATATATAAAGTCCATGTTGTAATTAGAGAAATACACTACATAGAAAATTTTAAAACAAGATTTCTAGCTCTACTGTTACTATGTGTCTTGCATGAGTCATTTAACACTTCAGACCATTTATTTATTTATTTATTTATTTATTTATTTATTTTTGAGATGGAGTCTCGCTCTGTCGCCCAGGCTGGAGTGCAGTGGCGTGATCTTGGCCCACTGTAACCTCCACCTCCCAGGTTCAAGCAATTCTCCTGTCTCAGCCTCCCAAGTAGGTGGGATTACAGGCACCCAACACTAATTCTTGTGTTTTTAGTAGAGATGGAGTTTCACCATGTTGGTCAGGCCGGTGTCGAACTCCTGACCTCAGATGATCCACTCACCTCAGCCTCCCAAATTGCTGGGATTACCGACGTGAGCCACCAGGCCCAGCCCGTTGATTTATTTTCTAAAAAATTTACTGAGTCAGACTCAGTATCCTTTAAGACATGTTCACACACGCTATGATTCTTTTAAACTAACTGATGACCAGTCTCTAGGTTTTCAATCTAACTTGAATATTTCTGTGTAATTATGGTACATTTTTTCATTCTGACAAGGAATGACAAAATGAAAATTATATAAAATTCAAATTTCAGTGTCCGGAGATAAAGTTTTATTTAACTAAGCAGTACTCATTGGTTTATGTATTCTCTATGGCTGCCGAGTTGAGTACGTGAAACAAAGACCTTATCTGGTACTCTCATTACTTTTCACTGCTATTCAATTCACAAATCACAGTGACATAGTTATAACTTGACAGCTCTTCAAATAACATGTATATCTCCATATTGCAACTTTATTTTTTATTATCACTGCATACCCATTCTGTGAAAACAAGAAAAGTGGGCTTTGCACTTAAAGGCAGAATCAAGTGTGGATATTGTTATCTTAGTTAACAAGAATTGTATTCGTTATATGATAACAATATAGCTGTGCTAAAAGATTATAATGTATGTTGATATTACCAGATTCAGCATTTATCACAATATTGATCGCTACAGAAAAGGAAATATGTTCAGAGAAAGTAATCTTGTTTAGGACTATTAGCCTTTCTGCAAGAACAGTTGTTCAAAGAGTTGAGGACTTTAGGAGAAAAATCAAATAATTTTTTTAAAGAAAAATGATTTAGAGTGCTTTTCATTGGTTGTTGACAAATTGAGGGATATTACTAACACAGTTGGCCTGCTGTATCCATGGGTTCTACATCAATGAATTCAACTAACGGCCATTGAAAATATTTGGAAAGAACGATAGAAAAATAGCAGGCTGGGCACGGTGGCTCACACCTGTAATCCCAGCACTTTAGGAGGCCAAAGTGGGTGGGTCACCTGAGGTCAAGAGTTTGAGACCAGCCTGCCCAACATGGCAAAACCCAGTCTGTACTAAAAATACAAAAAATTAGCCAGGCATGGTGGCAGTGCCTGTAATCCCAGCTACTCAGGAGACTGAGGCAGGAGAATCTCATGAACCTGGGAGGTGGAGGTTGCAGTAAGCCGATATCATGCCATTGCACTCCAGCCTGGGCGACGAGAGTGAAACTCCTTCTCAAAAAAAAAAAAAAAAAAGAAAGAAAAGAAAAGAAAAGAAAAGAAAAAAATAAAGCAATACGTAGGTTGAGGGAGGGGGTTCCACCCTGAAACCAGTCTCACAGAAAACCACAGCACAGCTATCTTCCATGGCTCTTAGCTACACTGAGGGCTGAGGTAGATGACAGTGTGCATTTGATGTGAGAGTCAAGAGCCCAGCACAGGGGTGTGATGGGGACCCATACTGCATTCCTGCCTGTCTTGGACATAAAGCTAGCACAGCCCACTTACCTCCAGCAGACATCATCATATTTCACCAGGAGCTCCTGAGCCACTCCCATCAGGATTAGTTCCTGTGCTCATCACTGGAATATTCATGGGCAAGCCAGATGATCCAGGCCTGCCCAGCTGTGTCACCAGAATGCACCACACAGTAAACAAAGATCTAGTACATACCCATCTGCTTTTGCCATAGCTGGCTCTTACCTGTTAGTGTCATCTACTGACCTGTAAGTGTGACTGCAAAATCTGATATAAAACTATAACAGAAGCGCACAGGGCAATAGAAGCAAAGCCAAAAGACTCTACCCAACATGCTCTACAGTCACACCAGCAAGCGAGGGGAAAAACCCCCATCCCAATGAAAGTAAATTCAAAAATAAGAATCACAACCTCTGAAAGATAAGCAGGAACCAGCCAAGAACTCCAGCAACATGAAGAAACAGAATGTTGTGACACACCCCCAAAAGAACCACACTAACTCCCTAGCAATGGATTCTAACCAAAATGAAACATTTTAAATGACAGGCATAGAATTCAAAACATAGATTATAAGGAAGCTCAATGACATCCAAGGGAAAGTTGAAAACCAACATAAACCAGAAAAACAATTCTTGGGTTGTTTTTCACACATATCTTTAAAAACATATCAACAACAGAGAGAACTTCTGGAAATAAAAAGTTCATGGACACAATTTCAAAATGCAATTGAAAGCTTTAACAAGAGACTAGACCAAGCAGAAGAAATAATTTAAGACCTTGAAGACCAATCTTTTGAATAAACCCAGTCAGAAAAGATAAAGGAAAAAGAATTTTTAAAAATGACAAAGCTTTTAAGAAACACAACATTTTATAAGGCAACCAAACTTGTGATTCATAGCCATTCCTGAAGGAGAAAAAGAAAAAGTAAGAAGTTTAGAAAATAATTACTTAAGAAAATAATTCAGGAAAATTTCCTGGATCTTGCTAAAGATGTAGATATGCAGATATACAAAATCCAGAGAATATCTTGGAGATACTACACAAGATGAACATTACCAAGTTATATACTCACCAGGCTATCTAAGGTTAACGTGAAAGAGCAAATCCTAAAAGTAGCCAGAGAAAAACACCAAATCAGCTATAAAAGAAATCCCATCAGACTAATATTAGAGTTTTCAGCAGAAACTTTTGGAGCCAGAAGAGATTGAAGCCCTATTTTTACCGGCTCAAAGAAAAGAAAAAGCCAGCCAATAGTATATCCTATCAAAATAAGCTTCATAGATGAAGGAGAAAAAAGTATTTCTCAGGGAAGGAGATGCTAAGAGAATTCAACACCACTATACCAGTCCTACAAGAAATGCTCAAAGGAGTTTTAACACGGAAATGAAAGGAAAATACTCACCAATATCAAAGCACACATAATAGAAAGCTCACAGATTCTATAGGTAATTACAATTGAGATTCCAAGGCAAGTAGCTAACAAACTATGACAAGAACAAAACCCCACATATCAACATTAACCTTGAATATAAATGGCTTAAATTCTCCACTTAAAAGACTTAGACTAGCAAATTGGATAAAACATACGATCCCACCATCTGTTACCTACAGGAGATCCACCTTATAGCTAAGGACACTTACAGGCTCAAAGTAAAGAGGTGGAAAAAGATATATCATGTAAATGGAAAACAAAAGTGAGTAGAAATAGCCATTCTCATATCAGATATGAGAATCTCATATCTGATATCAGATCTCATATCTTATATCTGATATGAGAATCTCATATCTGATATCAGATCTCATATCTGATATGAGAAACAGACTTTAAACCGCAACTGTAAAATAAAGACAAGGGAATTATATAACAATAAAGGCTTCAATAAAACAAAAAATTATAACTACGTAAAATATATGCACCCAACATTGAAGCACCCAGATTCTTACCATAAATACTTCTAGACCTAGGAAAACATATTACCAGGAATGCAATAATAGTAGGGGACTTCAACATCCCACTGACACCACTAGACATATCATCAAAGCAGAAAATCAACAAAGAAACTCTGGACTGAAACTAGACTGTAGGCCCAATATACCTAATAGACATTTACAGAACATTCTACCCAACAACTACAGAAAATACATTCTTCTGATTTGATCATGGAACATTCTCCAAAATCAACCATATGCTTGACCTTATATAAAGCAAGTCTCAATAAATTCAAAAACTTGAAAGTATATCAAATACTTTTTTAGAACACAATGGAATAAAATTAGAAATGAATACCAAGAGGAATTCTCAGAACTACACAAGTGCACGGAAACTAAGCAACTTACTCTTGAACAACTTTTGGATAAACAATAAAATGAAAGTCGAATTCAAAATTTTTTTGAAATGAAGGAAAATAGAGGCACAATGTGCCAAATCCTAAGGGATACAGCAAAAGCAACGCTAAGAGGAAAGTTTATAGCACAAAATGCCTACATCAAGCAGGTGGAAAGATTTCAAATTAACAACACAATGTCATACCTCAAGGAACTGAAAAAACAAGAACATACCTAACCTAAAGCTAGCAGAAAAAAAGAAATAACAAAGATCAGAGCAGAAATAAATGACATTGTGACCAAAAAAAAAAAAAAAGGATCAATGAAATGAAAAGCTGATTTTTTGAAAGGTTAAACAAAACTGACAGTGCTACTTAGATTAACCAAGAAAAAAAAAAGAGACGATTCAAATAAGCACAGTCAGACTTGACAAAGATGATGTTACAACTGATACCATAGAAATATGAAAGGTCATTGGTGATTACTATGAACACCTTTATGCACACAAATTAGAAAACCTGGAGGAAATGAGTGAATTTCTGGAACAATATATTATCCCCATATTGAACCAGTATGAAATAGAAATCCTGAAAAGACCAGTAATGAATTATGAAATCAAATCAGTAATAAAAAAAACTTCCAAAAAACTAAACTCCAGGACAATATGAATTCACAGCCAAATTTTACCAGATGTGCAAAGAAGAGCTAATACCAATCTTACTTAAACTATTTCCAAAAATCAAGAAGGGACTCTTTTCTAACTCATTCTATAAATACAGTATCACCCTGATACCAAAATCAAGCAAGGGAACACACACACACAAAAAATTACAGCCCAATATCCCTGATGAAATATGCAAAAATAATTAACAAAATATTGACAAACAAAATTTAACAGCACATCAAAAAGATAACTTCTTATGATCAAGTGGGCTTTATTCTAGAGATGCAATGATGGTTCAACATATGCAAATCAATAAATGTGATTCATCACATAAACAGAAACTAAGAACAAAAACCATATAATCATCCCAGTGGATCCAGAAAAAGCATTTAATAAAACCAACATCCCTTCATGATAAAAAAAATCTCAACAAACAAGACATCAGAGAAACATAACTCAAAATAATAACAACCATATATGACAGTCTTACAGCCTCCATTATACAGAATAAAGAAAAGTTGAAAATGTTTTGCCTAAGAACTGGAACAAGACAAGGATGTCCACCATCACCACTACTATTCAATATAACACTGGAAGTCCTAGTCAGAGCAATCAGGCAAGAGAAAAAAAAAAAGCATCCAAAATGAAAAAGAAATAAAATTATCTATTTGCTGACAACGTGATCATACATCTAGGAAAAAAAAAAAAACTAAAGCTTTCTCCAAAAGACTCCTAGATTTGATAAACAACTTCAGGAAAGTTTCAGGATACAAAATTAATGTACAGAAGTCAGTAGTATTGCTATACAACAGTAACATTGTAGCTGAGAACCAAATCAAAAATACAATCCCATTTCTAATAGCCACAAAAAATGTGAGAATACTTTTAACCAAAAAGTGAATGATCTCTGCAGGGAGAACTATAAAATATTGATGAAAGAAATGGTAGATAACACAACAAATGGAGAAACATCCCATGCAATGGATTAGAAGAATCAATATCATTAATAGGACCATGCCACCCAAAGCATTCTAGAGATTCAAAGCAATTTTTATCAAAATACCAACAACATTCTTTATAGAATTAGAAAAAAAATCCTAAAATTCATATGGAACAATAACAACAAAAAGCCTGAATAGCCAAGGCAATCCTAAGCAGAAAGAACAAATCCAGAGGCATCACACTGCCTGATGTCAAATTATCCTACAAGGCTATAGTAACTAAAACAGCATGGTACTGGCAGAAAAGTAGACACATAGATCAATGGAACAAAGTAGAGAAACCATAAATAAAACAAAATACTTGCAAACAACTGATCTTCAACAAAAGTGACAAAAATAAACAATGGAGGAAAGACACTGGATTCCATAAATGGTGCTTGGAAAATTGGTTGGTCAAGTGCAGAAGAATGAAACTGGACCCCTATCTCTCACCATATACAAAATTATCTCAAGATGGATAAAAGACTTAAATGTAACACCTGAAACTATAAAACTTCTGGACAAAACTCTAGGAAAAACTCTTCTGGACATTAGCCTAGGCAAAGAATTTATAATGAAGGACCCAGAAGCAAAGGCAACAACAACAACAAAAATACAAATGGGACTTAATTAAACTAAAAAGCTTTCATGCTGCAAAAGAAATAATCAACAGAGTGAACCAACAACATATAGAACAGGAGAAAATACATGCAAATTATGCCTCCAGCAAAGGACTAATATCCAGTATCTATAAGGAACTCAAACAACTCAACAAGAAAAAGCAAACAACCAAACTAAAAACTAGGCAAAAGACATGAACAGGCATTTCTCAAAAGAAGAAATACAAGTGGCCAAGAAACACATGCAAAAAGGTTCAACATCACTAATCATCAGGAAAATGCAAGTTAAAACCACTCTGAGATATCTTACACCAGTCAAAACGTTCATTAAAAAAAGAAGTAAAACACACACACACGTGCACAACAGATGACAAGGATGAGAAGAAAAAGGAATTCCACTGTTGGTGGGAATGTAAATTAGTTCAGCCTCTAGGGAAAACAACATGTAGATATCTGAAATAACTACGAATGGAACTACATTCAATCCAGCAATCCTACTATGGAGTGTCTACCCAAAGAAAAAGAAATTATTATATAAAAAAGACCCCTGCACTAGTATGTTTATCTCAGCACTATTCACAGTAGCAAAGCAATAAAACTAACGTGTGTCCATCCACAGTGGACTGGACAAAGAAAATGTTGTATATATACACCATGGAATACTATGCAACCATTAAAAAATAATAGTCATGTCCTTTGCAGCAACAAAGGAGAAAGCCATTCTCCCACGTGAATAACTCAGAAAAAGAAAATCAAATATCTCATATTCTCACTTGTAAGCAGGAGCTAAAGAGTGGGAATATATGAACATAGAGATGGAAATAATAGACACTGGAGACACCAAAAGGTTGGGGGGGCGGGATAGGAGGGGGTTAAGAGTTTAAAAGTTACCTATCAAGTACAATAGTCATTATTTGGGTGATGGATACACTAGAAACACAAACCTCACCCTTATGCTATATATCTATGTAACAAACCTGCAAAACACCCCCTGAATCCCAAAGTAATTTTTTAAGGTAACAATACAATAATAAAAAATAACACAAATAAACAATTTAGTATAGAATATATTTAGAAACTTTAAAATAAACTAAAAAATAACACAGATAAAAATTATTATGGAATATATTTAGAAACTTTAACACGGCATTTACATTGTGTTAGGTATTATAAGTAATCTAGAGATGATTTAAAGTATATGGAAGGTGGTTCAGTGAAATGGCTTATACCTGTAATCCCAGCACTTTGGGAGGCCAAAGGGAGGATCATTTGAGATCTGGAATTTGAGACCAGCCTGGGCAAGACTCCATCTCTACAAAAAAAAAATTAAAAATTAGCCAGGCTGGTATACATACCTGTAGTTCCATCTACTTGAGAGGCTGGGGTGAGAGGATTGCTTTTGCCCATGAGTTTGAGGTTGCAGTAAGCTATGATTATACCACTTCACTCCAGCCTGGGTAACAGAGTGAGACTCTATCTCTAAAAAATAATAATAAAGTAAAATAAAATAAAAAATAAAACAAAGTATACAGGAAGATTTCCATTGGTTATATACAAATACTATACCATTGTTTATAGGGGACTTCAGCATCCTTGAATTTTGATATCCAAGGGGATCCTGTGATCAAACCCCTGCAGGCACCAAGGGACCACTCTATCACTCAGTTGTTTAAAGTGTCAATGCTGAATGTGAATCAACTGAAAAATTAAGTTCACTGAATAAGCTGAGTAGAAAAACACCAAGTAAGAACATTATAAAAGAATTTAAGAAGAACATTAATTTAGCACAAATTAAAGGGGAATCTGATAATATTTCCAAATTTATAGTGGTAAAATATGTTTAGAGCTAAAAGTGTTCACTTGGACAAATTAAAAAGTTATAAAAATGTAAGATGTTTAAAGCCAATGGTTATTCATTGAATTCAACAGCAAGTACATTCCAGAAAACATTTGGCTTTTTCATGTAGTGTCAACAGTGAACTTCATCACTTTTGAGAACTTGACAATCACCAGTTTCCAAGAATTTTTGTCAGAAATAGAAGTTAAATATCCTAACATGCCCTAACATACAACATCTTGGTGGCTTAAAATTTTATTGCATATTTAGTTCAAGCAGAGAATGAATTTCTTTATAAGTGAAAAGAAATCCCTTCAACTACTATTATTGAACACTGAATGGCTTTGGAATTTAGTTTTCACTACAGATTTATTTTTCTTAATGAATTAAACCTAAAATTTCAAGCCAAAACAACATGTATGCAAAACTTATGGCAAAGTTATTTCAATGACAACTAAATGTTGTTGGAATCACGTGTAATGTTAAGCTACTTTGTATACTTACGATGCTATCAGATTTTAAAAAGTGAGAAATCCATTCTCATACAAAGTTGTAGTGGGTATATTTTACAAGATCAAACTACAGTTCCAGCAGTGTCTTGGGAACCTCTATATAAATGCAAAGGAAATATCTGTATTTCAGAATCCACTTGACTGAGCAATTGCAGACCTTCCACTTAACCTTCGATTAGAAATGATAAATCTGCAATAAAATGACATGCTAAATGGTAAATATCAAGAGAAAAATCTAATAGAAATATATAACTGCCTCTCAAGCATTGAATATGCTCAGTTAAAATCATATGCTCATAGATTTATATCAGTATTTGGCAGTAACTATTTGTATAAAAAGACATTTTCAAAGATGAAATACACCAACTCTTATTACATATTATCATGAACAGATGAATATTTTTAATCAATTTTGAAATATGAACCACTAATTTTGAATATCAAATAAGTGAAATAATATGTGCCCCCCAAAATAAAAAAAAAATTCACTTTTTCTTATTCAATTACATTACAAAATATGTACTCAGTTATATTATTTTTTAATTTCATCAATAAAAATGGACATTTGTTTTCTCTCTTGTTACATTAGTTATTTAATATCCTTAGATTATCTAATATTCTTGATTTAGTCTCCTGGCCTACAAAACTTTTAATATTACTATCTGACTCTTTTTTTTCTGATTAAACTTAGTTTTAACAGGTCTCAAAATTCTGTGACAGGTTTTTGGTTGTTTTCATTAAAAAGTACTGATTTTAGGGTGTCTGTAATCTCAGCTAATCGGGAGACTGAGGCAAGAGAATTGCTTGAACCCTGGAGGCGAGGTTGCAGTGAGCCGAGATCATGCCACTGCCTGGGAGACTGTGTGAGACTCTGTCTCCAAAATAAAATAAAATAAAATAAAAGCACTGATTTTAAAAACTAATAACTTAAAACTACCACACATTAAAAAAAAAAATGGATCCGCAAAACATTCTCCTTTCCTTCTGAAGCTTTTCTGATGCATTGTTTTCATTAACCAATCTTTTACTGTTAAACTTAAATGACCAATTGAAACAAAAAGTTCTGAGGTCATTCTTTTACTGATTAAGATTGGGGTGGTAGGTATTAGGGATAATATTCATTTAGCCTTCTGAGGCTTCTGGGTAGACTTGGTGACTTTGCCAGCTTCAGAAGCTTTCTTGTCCACTGCTTTGATGACACCAGTAGTAACTGTCTATCTCATATCATGAACAGCAAAACGACCCAGAAGAGAATTAGTCAGAGAGGCTGTCAACACACATGGGCTTGTCAGGAACCATATCAACAATGGCAGCATCATCAGATTTCAAGAATTTAGGGCCATCTTCCAGCTTATTACCAGAATAGTATTCAATCTTTTCCTTCAGCTCAGCAGACGTGCAAACAATGTGAGCTGTGTGGCAATCCAGTACAGGGACATAGCCACCAGTGATTTGGTCTGGCTTGTTCAGGATAATCACCTGAGCAGTGAATCCAGCTGCTTCCATTTGCAGGTCATTTTTGCTGCCACCAGCAACATTGTCACAACAAATATCTTTGACAGACACATTTTTGACATTGAAGCCCATATTGTCCCCAGAAAAGGCTTCACTCAAAAGATTCATGTTGCATTTTAGCAGACTTTACTTCAGTTGTAACATTGACTGGAGCAAAGATGACCACCATGCTGGGCTTGAGAACATGTCTCCACTAGGCCCACAGGGACAATATCAATACAACCAATTTTGTAGACATCTTGGAGAGGCAGATAGAAGGGCTTGTTAGTTGGAAGAGTTGGTCGTCCAGAGCTTGAGGCAGTGTAGTTCCACTGGTACTGACATCTTTCAGGTGGCTCTCCATCCCTTGAAACAAGACGTGTGAGCACTTGGTTCTCATATTAGTCAGGGTTCTCTAGATGGACAGGACTAATAGAATAGATGTTTATGTGGTTCGGCTGTGTCCTCACCCAAATCTCATCTTGAATTCTCACATGTTGTGGGTGGGACCTGGTGGGAGGTGGTTGAATCATGGGGGTGGGTCTTTCCCGTGCTGTTCTCATGATGGTGAGTATGTCTCATGAGATCTGATGGTTTTATAAGGGGGAGTTTTCCTGCACAAGCTCTCTTTCTTTGCCTGCTGCCATCAGTGTAAGATGTGGCTTGCTCCTCCTTGCCTTCCACCATGATTGTAAGGCCTCCCAGTCACTTGGAACTATAAATCCATTAAAACTCTTTCTTTTGTAAATTTCCCAGTCTTGGGTATGTCTTTACCAGCGGTGTGAAGATGGACTAATATAGATGTATATGAAAGGGAGTTTATTAAGGAGTATTGACTCACACAATCACAGGGTGAAGTTCCACAAAATGCCATCTGCAAGCTGAGGAGCAAGGAAGCCAATTCAAGTCCCAAAACCTCAAAAGTAGGAAAGCTAACAGTGCAGCCTTCAGTCTGTGACTGAAGGCCCAGGAGCCCCTGCAAACCACTGGTGTAGGTACAAGATTCCAAAAGCTAAAGAACTTGGAGTCTGATGTTAGAGGACAGGAAGCATCAATTATGGGAGAAAGATGGAGGCCAGAAGACTTAGCCAGTCTAGTCCTTTCACGTTTCTCTGCCTGCTTTTATTCTAGCCACACTGGCAGCTGATTAGATGGTGCCCACCCAGATTAAGGGTGGGTCTGCTTCTCCCAGTCCCTTGATTCAAATGTTAATCTCTTCTAGCAACACCCTTAGGGACACACAATACATTGCATCCTTCAGTCCAATCAAGTTGACACTCAATATTAACCATCGCAGTTCCAGCACGTTATTAACATTCCAACCAGAAATTAGCACAAATGCTACTATGTCAAGTTTGTAGCCAGTCTTCTTAATATAAGTGCTGACTTCCTTAATGACCTCCTCATATCTCTCCTGGCTATAGGGTGGCTCAGCGAAATCCATTTTATTAAAGCCAACAATTGTTTCACACCCACAGTGTAACCAAGAAGGGCATGATCACAGGTTGGCTCATCCTTGGAGACAGCAGCTTTGAATTTGCCTGAGATCCTCCTGTAATCATGTTTTTGATAAAGTCTCTGTTTCTTGGGGTGTCAATGACAGTGACATAGTAGTTGCTGATCTCAAAATTCCACAAGGAGATTTCAATGGTGATATCGCATTCATGCTCAGCTTTCAGTTTATCTAAGACCCAGACACCTTTAAGGGAACACTTTTGCACCTCAGCAGCCTCCTTCTAAAATTTTTAAATGGTTCTTTTGTTGATACAATCACATTTGGGGATCAGATGGCCAGTAGTCATGGACTTTCCCAGATCTATGTGTCCAATAACAATAATGCTGTTAAGAATCTCTTCCTTTGCATTTTGGCTTTTAGGGGTGGTTTTAGCAGCATGTGTTCTGGAGGCAAACATGTTGTGGAAAAGCTACTATCTAATTCTTCATAGAAAAAGTTTGCCAACTTTTAAACTGAATTATAAAGTTATCAATTCCCAACATATCATGCATAGAATTTACTTGTAACCCCTTTTTCACATGTTTTATCAACTCATCTTGCTATGTTCTCCTCACCAGTGAACTATAACATGATATCATCCATGTAATTGATAAACATGATCCTCAGAAGTATGGCAAAATGATTACATTCCTTAGACAGTACAATTAGCAGAGGTGGAAAGTTGCTATAACCCTAAGGCAGGATGAAGAAAGCATACTGCTGTACTAATAAAGTAAAAGTAAAATGTTTATTAACTCAGAGAAAAAATTCACATGAAGTCACATAGACACCATCAGCTATATTTACTTTGTTTTCCAAATATACCACATGTGAAAGAGCATCTGCAATTGTAGCCATCTCCTGATAAAGTGTATTTTAATCTACTGTCCTACAAGATTTTCCTATCTTCTGTACAGGTCAAATTGTCAATTTAAGTGGGTATATAAAAATATTATTTTTACATGCATCTTTTAAGACGTTGATGTTGCCACTAATCTCTCTGGTTCCCTCCAGGGAACAGATATTGACTTTGATGTACTTTTTGAGTAAAAATAGAATATTCTAGGAGCTGGCCATTTTTTTACTGTAAGAGCCTTTACTAGTTCAAGAGGCAATGTGGTGATGCTGTTGCTGAATATATTTATTCCTGATATGAAATCAGCAGCTAAGTAAATAACCACAAAAACTTTTTTCCAGATCTACCAGGCCCACTGTAAAATGTAGATTGGGTTCAAAACTCCATTTACCTGAATAATTTAATTTCCTCACTTTTCTTTGATTGGTAGTCCTCAATGGCATTCTGAAACTGTTCATCAGCTTTCTATTTTCAGAAAAAAATGATACATATATACATATATGTATAAAAGCCTGGGTCTATCACTTTACCCAGTCCAATATTACTTTGGCTACAGGTTTGCAGAAGGACAAGAGAAATATTTGAAATATGTATATGTATATGTATATGTATATGTATATGTATATGTATATGTAATAGGTCTTCCCCAAGTGTTCCTGGCTACTCTCCCATTAGAGAACTTTGTAGACTCCTCATCTTTTTCAGTCCTAGATATTGCATGATCGATTAACTATCTTCAAAGTTTGGTTAAATTCAAACCATTCTGATTTCTTGGGTCATATCTTATCTTGGTAACCATGCTCACTTAGTCAGTAGTAATTAAGTTAACTTCTTTATTGAAATCAGGAGTTCATTTTATTGGCAGCTTCTCCTACCTTTTTCTTCTTTTTAAGTCTAGAAAAATACAGCCACTACAGAATTATTTAAGAAAGGTAGTGCCTTCCTTGTCAATTTATCTCTTAGTGTTTTGATGAAAAAAAAAAAAAAAACCTGTGGGCCTTTTCTTTCTAAATATTTAGATTACTTTCTCTACCTTATACATAATAATTTCTAGACTCCCAAGCTTCATTCAATACAGGCTCCCATTTAGTCTAGTTTTAGTCAACAATCCAAGCTTCTCTCAGCTACTCAAGCAGAGGGTATAACATTTTTTAAGAGCTCCAAATTAATACATTTAGCCATGTTTTCCTCTCCCTGGTAAAGTACCCTCAGTGTCTATTGCACCACAAGCTTTCCAGATTTGGGCTGATATAAGTTTTTAAAGTTTTACAAAGTTTTTAATGTGTAACCCTTTCCTCTGAGGTTTAAATTTACAATTGTAGGGCATTCTGACTCTAGTTATAGAAGAGGACAGTGAGAGGTGACAGGGATCAGAAATGAGAATTTGCATTTGCCTGCAAGATAATAAGCTCATGAATTTAGTGCAGAGTCTTTTGAAACCAGTGAAACCAGGTCATGAAACCAATGAAGAGGGATCGATTCTATTGATATGAAAAGTTCTGGGAAATTTTGGAGTTTGAGGAACTGAGATATACGTGAAGCCTCCAAAATGCCGTATTCCATATCATAATATTCTATTTTTTCCAAATAAATCCTAACTTTCAGAAGAAACACACTGAGACTGTAAACCTGGTCTATGTTAAAATTCCAGAAATAAAAAAATCAGATTCTAAGCCTGAGAAATATCTACATAAACCCAGTGGCTATAAGAAATTATTTTAGGAATAGTCATAGAAAATCTCTGGTGCCTTGAGTATAGAATTTAAAGCTCTGATTCTATCATTTACACTCCAATAGAGGTTTCTGGAACTATCTCACTCTATAGTCCTTGTATAACTTATGCCCATTGTGATATGCTAGAGCAACCATCATTTGATCTGTTCTCAATATTTTAATGATTGGAGTCATGGATTAAAAATGTTTCCTGTCTAATGTTAACCTGCTCCTCACTGCCTTCTTATCTAACTAGATCAAATAATAAATCTCTTATCACAAACTTGAGGTCTGTTGCTTGTAATGTCTTTTGGTATCAAGTACTTTATTGACTCACTGTAACAGAAAACGCTCTGGCTATTTTAAACAACAAAGAGTTTTGTACCAGGAATAGGGTGTTTTCAAAATTATTGGTAGAATTAAAGAACTTCTCTATGGTGTACTTCCAGAAATACTTCCAGGACCATACTGTAAAACCAGCCCACCAAGGGGACTCCTATTTCCACCACAATCAGGCATCCTTTGTTCCAGCTTCTGAATTCAAGATCCCACAATTTTGCTATAACTGAAGGTCAGAAAACTACCCCCACAATCATTTATTCAATGAATATTTATGAAATCCCTACTAGGAAGAGCCTCTACTGTGGGGGTTGCTTGGTAGACAGAAAGCAGAAGAAGATATGAGATTATGGTATGAAAGGCACCCAAAAAGAATGCGAGAGTACTAAGTTAGGACAGAAAGGGGTTAGAGAAACACTGAATACAAACTTTATAAAATGTTTGATTTTGTTAAGGAAAAACTTCTTTTCTGAGTACCTGGTTTACATGGCAGAAAATTGACAAACCATTAAATGAGAATGCTTATAATTCTTAGATAAATATAATCCCATCAATTTATTTCATAGTGACATTTCATTTTTTCATAAAGTTGCTAGTAGAATTTTTTGATCAGACAATATGGCAAATAGAAAAAAAACAAAACATTAGTTTTTATTTTGTTTTGCTTCTTCACAAGCATTTACTCATGCTCCCATTTTTTTTTTCACTAAGTAGAAAATGCATGTATACACAAACATTGCACCGAGAAGCTGGAATTCTCAAACCAAAGCAAAGAATTAATATAACTGAATAAGTCTAGAAAAACAAACACGGCAATCAGAAAGAATTAAAAACCCACTCAACTTATCCAACAAGGTTAGCACCAAGGGCAAGGGCATTTTTTTACACTGCATATCTGTCTGTGTGTGTTAATTATCTCAATGGCTATTTCAATCAATTATTTCCTTTTGACAATGAAGATTACCCCCAGCAAAACGTCTTAGTTGACAAGTTACTTGGATGACCTTAATTACAACATCTATTGGACCATTAATGAATTTAAAAGATATTAAGGGAGGGAGAAACCAAGTGGTAAATTTTATTTAATTTTCTGGGTTAATTTTAAGTTCCCTGGAAAACGTGATTTTCTAGGTTATTTCTTTTTGTTCAAAACTTTACAGTGTAAAAATGCTGTTTTCAAATATTAATCTTTCTCTTCAGCTTAATACTTTGCCATTCAATATCCTGAAATGACTAAAAAAAAGTCTGGGTGAATTTAGATTGCTTATTAAGCACAATGTAAATCAAAATTCAACTAAAATGTCTTTTTTCTACCTTTATCCCCTGCTACAGTTTTTAGTGTGCTACCATTCTTCTGTACTTTTAAATAACACTTGGCTTAACAATAACAAAACAACAACAAATACATTCTAATGCATTAGTTAAAAAAAAAGAAAAACTGTCCAACTGTCCACATGGTAATCTACTGCTAAATATCCATCTAGACACATCAAAAACTTTTCTACTTGATTAATAGAAATGAGCCAATTTTAAAATTAGATAATTTCAGTTACAACATTTTGCTGATTTTTTTTGTAAATAAGAAATCAATAACACACTCATTTTTTAATTTGAGAATGTCATAAGCTTTCATTTGACTTTTTTACATTTTTGTCTGACAGAAGGAGTTGATGGTGGCAGTAAACAAATATTGAACTTCTTTTCAAATTGTTCTATTCCTAGATGACTCTTTTTCAATGAAATTTAGCCATCTGGGAAGTTTGTTCTTTGTAACTTTCCTCTGTAGGAAGAGCATGCCTGTGAAATTCAGCAAGAAATTAAGTCATAAGAAGAGCAAGTAATTCCACTGCTAATGAAGCCAGAGATATCACTTTTGTGACTGAAATACAGGGGAATTAAAATTGCTCTCACCAAGCTGAATTTTATCAGTTATAAAAAATTGTAATTTTAAAAAAATAGCCATGCAACATATATGGTAAAGATAATTTCTCTGGTTTAAAGAATGATTTTATTTGCATGACATTAATCAAAAGGTGAGTTTTCAAGGTTATCTAATAGGGAATCATTCTTAACATAATAATTTGTTCATTTTAAATCACTATTACACATTTGGCAGTTCTGTTAAGGAGATAATTTGGCAACCTCTTCATTGAAAGTGGCTCCTCTCATAAAAATGGGCACCTAGAGAGATATTTACACATACTCTAACTCTGCCTATATGCAAAAAATTACTGTAGAAAACTGCATCACCAACTTTTTGGTGTTTAAGTAGACAATGATGTAAGTCCATAAAATCTAGCAATGGTGGGCATAGTTTGAGGAAGAAAGGTAAAATAGTAGTGATGTACTTAGAAGTGAAAATCCATTTTGTCAGAACCACTATTGCCTACCTAATATCTATACTCCCTTTCATTTTTACAGACTTTATACATACTCTCAATATGCCAACTAAAATCAACATTTATCAGCCTCTCTTGCATCTATGTGGCCATGTGTATTAGTCTGTTTTCACACTACTATAAAGATACTACCTGGGACTGGGTAACTTATTTAAAAAAGAGGTTTAGCTGACTAACTGACACAGTTCTGCATGGCTAGGGAAGCCTCAGGAAACTTACAGTCATAGCAGAAGGTGAAGGGGAACCAAGTCATGTCTTAAATGGCAGCAGGCACAAGAGAGAGCAGAGGGGAAGCACCAGGCACTTATCAAACAACCAGATCTCATGAAAATTCACTCACTATCACAAGAACAGCATGGAGGGAATCACCCCATGATCCAATCCCCTCCCACCAGGTCCCTACCTCAACATGTGGGGATTACAATTCCAGATGAGATTTGGGTGGGGAAACAGAGCCAAGCCAAATTATTCCACCCTGACCCTCCAAAATCTCATGTTATTTTCACATATCAAAACCAATCATGCCTTCCCAGCAGTCCCCCAAGTCTTAACTCATTCCAGCACCTTAACTGAAAAGTCCAAGTCCAAAGTCTCACGTAAGACAAGTCAAGTCCCTTCCACCTATAAGCCTGTAAAATAAAAAACAAGTCATTTACTTTGAAGATACAATGGGGGTACAGGCATTGGGTAAATGTTCCCATTCTAAATGGGAGAAATGGGACAAAACAAAAGGTTTACCAGCCCCATGCAAGTCCAAAACCTAGCAAAGCAGTCATTAAATCTTAAAGCTCTGAAATAACCTCTTTTGAGTCCATATCTCACATGCAGGGAATGCTGATGCAAAAGGTGGGCTCCCATGGCCTTGAGCAGCTTCGCCTATGTGGCTTTTCAGGATACAGCCCCTAAAGCCGCTTTCACAGGCTGGCGTTGAATGCCTGTGGCTTTTCCAGGGCACACTGCAAACTGTCAGTGAACCTACCATTCTGGGGTCTGGAGGATGGTGGCCCTCTTCTCACAGCTTCACTTGGCTGTGCCCCAGTAAGTACTCTGCATAGGGTCTCCAACCCCACATTTCCCTTCTGCACTGCCCTGGCAGAGGTTCTCCGTGAGGGACCTCTGCAGCAGACTTCTGCCTGGACATCCAGGCATTTCCATACCTCCTCTGAAATCTAGGTGGAGGCTCCCAAAGCTCAACTTTTGTCTTCTATGCACTCGCGGGCCCAACACCATGTGGAAGCTACCAAGCCTTTGGGCTTGCACCTTATGAAGTGATAGCTTGAGCTGTACTGTGTCACCTTTTAGCCATGGCTTGAGCTGGAGGGCCTGGAACACAGGACACCAAGTCCTGAGGCTCACAGAGCAGTGAGGCCCTGTGCCTGGCCCACAAAAACATTTTTTCCTCCTAGGCCTCCAGGCCTGTGATGGGAGGGGCTGCTGTGAAGATTTCTGACATGCCTTGGAGACATTTTCCCCATTGTCTTGGCTATTAACATTTGGTTCATCACTTATGCAAATTTCTATAGCCAACTTGAATTTCTCTTCAGAAAATGGGGTTTTTCTTTTCTACCACATGGCCAGACTGCAAATTTTCCAAACTTTTATATTCTGCTTCCCATTTAAACGTAAGTTCCTCATCTCCATCTGAGACCACCTCAGCCTGGATTTCATTGTCCATAACAATATCAGCATTTTGGTCAAAACCATTCAACAAATCTCTAGGAAGTTCCAAACTTTCCTACATCTTCCTGTCTTCTTCTGAGACCTCCAAACTGTTCCAGCCTCTGCCTGTTACCCAGTTCCAGAGTAACTTCCACATTTTCATGTTATCTTTATAGCAGTACCCCACTTTGGTACCAATTCTCTGTATTAGTCAATTTCCACACTGCTATAAAGATACTACCTGAGCCTGGGTAATTTATAAAGAAGAGGCTTTATTGACTTACAGTTCTGCATGGCTGAGGAGGCCACAGGAAACTTACAATTATGGCAGAAGGCAAAGGGGAAGCAAGACATATCTTACATGGCAACAGGCAAGAAAGAGAGCTCAGGGGACACACCAGACACTTACCAAACAACCAGATCTCGTGAAAACTCACTGACTATCATGAGAACAACATGAGAGAAACCACCCCCATGACCCAATCCCCTCCCACCATGTCCCTCCCTTGACACTTGGGGGTTACAATTCAGATTACAATTCCAGATGAGATATGGGTAGGGACACAGTGCCAAACCATATCACCATGTGACACATTGTTGCTCAATGAGATATAAGCCATATTCTACTCAGGGTTCCTGGAAACGTTTTGTATTACTAAAACAAAATTTTCATGCTCTTTCTTGTTTCTTCAGTTTTCTTTATGCCTGCAATGTGGTCTGGAATTGTAGCAACTATCATAAAATCATCAGAATAAAAGCCACATACCAAGAGGATAAAGCTATAGGAAGACTAAAATATGGATGTTCTCATTGGACTGCCATCTTAGACCTGGACTACTTGCCTCAAAAAATTCTTACATTATGCAAAAATAAATTCCTTTTTGTTTAATCCACTGTAGCTAGAATTTTGTAACATCATGCCAAATGATAAGTGATAACCATCCCTCATGTAACTCAAAAAACTATAACAAACACCTTGAATGTGGACAACTACTCATGCAGGCATCCATCATGCATCTTACATCCTGTTGGTGGAAGAAAAATCTTTATATAAAAATATTATGAACTTCTGAAATAGTACTATGCTCTGATTTTTGTGGAAAATCTTATAAAATCCTTTATCTAATAAATAATGTAGCCTGCCCCTTCCTCTGGGAGCTCTGTGCTAAACACCCATAATGGTAAGCTAGATAAAGAAAATGTGCTAAACATACAGCATGGAATACTATGCAGCCATAAAAAAGAATGATGGAACTGGAGGCCACTTCCTCAGCAAACTAACACAGGAACAGACAACTAAATACTGCTTGCTCTCATTTATAAGTGGGAACAAAATGATGAGAACACATGGGCACATTGAGGGAAACAACACGCACTACGGCCTTTCAAAATGTGGAGGGTGGGGCCGGGCGTGGTGGCTCATGCCTGTAATCCCAGCACTTTGGGAGGCCGAGGCAGGCGGATCATGAGGTCAGGAGATAGAGACCATCCTGGCTTACACAGTGAAACCCCATCTCTACTAAAAAAATACAAAAAATTAGCCAGGCATGGTGGCGGGTGCCTGTAGTCCCAGCTACTCAGGAGACTGAGGAAGGAGAATGGCGTGAACCCAGGAGGTGGGGCTTACAGTGAGCCAAGATCACACCACTGCACTCCAGCCTGGGCAACAGCGCAAGACTCCATATCAAAAAAAAAAAAAAAAAAAAAAAAATCTGGAGGGTGGGAGGAGGGAGAGGATCAGGAAAAATAACTCATGGCTACTAGGCTTAATACCTGGGTGATAAAATAATCTGTACAACAAACCCCCATGACACAAGTTTACCTGTGTAACAAACCTGCATCTCTGAACTTAAAAGTTAAATAAATAAATACAATAGTATAAGTTAATACAGAGTGAGAATCCCTCCCATGAGCTCCCTAAGGTGCACCATGTGCAATGAACATTTCCAGGACTTTATGCCTGGAATGTGATCTGGAACTGTAGCAACCATCATAAAACACCCTCATACAGAAAATTTTTGGCTCCAATACAGAGTCAAAGAAAGAAAGGAACATCCTTAAAAAGCATCTTAAATAGTGGTAGCTGACATTCCTTTCACTCTCTTTCATAAAATCCTTCTTCAGTTAATTTTTTAATCTTTCTTCATACACATGTGACAATTGTCTGGATCTCAGAAGCTCTGAGAGTCTGTCCTAACACTAATAATGCAAATGCTTGTCTGAAGTCCTGGGAATGTTCATCACGGATGATGACAGCTAAAAGGTAAATAGCTCAACTTTCCGAGTAGCCAGATGGATATTTATGATCTCTAATTCTCAGTCAGATTGGAATCAACATTTCTTACTGCATTGGCGACAACCTCCCTTAAGTCATGTTTAAAACTTCTCTTGTTTTTTTTGCCAACTCTGGAAAACAAGTCCTTACAAATTATGTTACAATTCATAAATAAAAGGCTATTCATTTATAGGTAGCCACATGTCTTTTGAGCCATTAGATCAGCCTTACTCAAATTTGAGACACATCTGTCCATAATCAATCAAATTATCAAATATACTTGTTATTTGTTAACTTGAAATGGAATAATACAAACAAAGAAATGAAACTCTTAGGGAATATTTAAGAGTTATTCTTATCTGTGGGAGTTTTGTTTTGATAATTTTTTTTGAGATAGGGTCTGGCTCTGTTGCCCAGGCTGGAGTGCAGTGGCACAATCTCAGCTCACTGCAACTTCCACCTCCTGGGCTCAAGCGATCCTACCTCAGCCTCCCAAGTAGCTGGGATTACAGGTGCGTGCCACCACAGCTGGCTAATTTTTGTATTTTAGTAGAGATGGGGCTTCACCATGTTGGCCAGGCTGGTCTTGAACTCCTGGCCTTAAGTGATCTGCCTGCATTGACCTCCAAAGGTGATGGGATTACAGGCATGAGCCACCATACCCAGCCTGCTTTGGTAACTCTAAAAGGAAAAAACAGTACAATTTAAGCAGAAGCCTCAGTTGATTCCACAGGGAGCTCTTTATTTGGGGGCTTTCAAAGTGAAATTACATTAAGGTGAGGGGTGGGGCTTTACCTCTACATTTACTAGTAATTGAATGTGGTCTGCCCCTGGACAGGGAAGCCATCCTTGAGTGAGTCAGTTCTTATCATTCAGGGTAATTCTAAGAGAAGGAAACAGCCATGATTTATCAGTGGTGGCCAACATGACCAGTAGTTGGGGGAATGAGGCCCCAAACCTGAAGGAAAATCTGGAAAGAGTGCCTTGGAGACCCCTCTAGTCAGTTGTAGACCTCTGATAAACATTTGTATGGGATATAGATCTCATCACACTCTCTATACCCTTACTATATACCCCTCATCCCTTGTAAAGTTTACAATATTTGTTCTTTCCATATTCTTGACCATTTGAGCAATATATTAGCCTCTGTTCTTAAATCTGTAGATTTGTATCTCAGGCCTTCTGCCCACTTGAAGTAAATGACCAAAGGCACAATCTAAAGCGCTATTTAAAGGATTTCCTCACTACTTCCTGGATCAACTCTGCTAATATACAATACAGTTACAGATAAAAACTAGTCCTACTTCAAAGATACGAGTGGAGGGAGAAGCAATGAAGCAGTAGAAAGTAATACCATGACAGTTTGAGTCATCTGCTTTTATTTTTCTACCTTCTGGATTTGCTCAGATCTAATCACATATGCACCATTTCCACTTTACACTGGAATACTGCTGTGCATGTTGAGCTCCATAGGTCTGTCAAACAGATAACCACCATTTTAATATGGACATGATCACCTGACTTTTTAGCCTGCCAGAAGCTGCTTTTTAGTTGGTTGGAGGGGATAGGAGAGAGGTTAGGAGATTCTCCAAACTTGCAGAAGATGATGATAATGATGATCCATATCAAACAATATGAGTGGTAAAAGGAGAGATTTGTCAAGTGAAACAATGTGTCAGATTGAAAGCATGGGTATAAAGTTGTTTTGAATGCAGTCCTCATGAATCTTTCACAGAAGACCAGTTCCCACTGAGAAGTCCATTCTTTCAAAAGGCTGCATAGAAAGTGGAGAGGGAAAATGGAGCAGTTGCATAGGGAGTCAGAACCACTGTGGTTATCCACAGGGAAGAGAAAGAAAGAAACAAAAAAAATTGTTTTAATCTTTTCCTATCCAGTAACATTTATTAATAGCTATGTGCTGGCCCAGTGCTGGGTGCCGTACACATTCTATCTCATCTAATGCACACAACAAACCAGTTTTTATTAGTTGACCAGAAGTCATCCACAAATGGCTGAGATGAATTGGCAACACAGACCCACCCACTGACTTTGAAGTTAACACTGCCCCTACAGGTGACTCTCCCATCCAATTTTACCAATTTTATGATTTTATCCACAGGTAAAATTTTTTTAATCTTGTTATTATCCAGTTATCTAGGCAAATCTAGAAAGAAGCCTGGGGAGCTCATTAAAGTAGATATGCTGAGATGGAGAAAATTAAATTTTATCTCTTACTTCCTCTGGCTAAGAAAATTTTTAAGGCTCCTCAACAGGGAAAGAATTGGGGTGCAAAGCAGGAAAATGTATTCATTGAGATCAGTAACTTGTCCAGCTGTTCCTCATACTTATGGCTTTCAAATATGTCAATGATGTAGTTTGGACTAGGTTTGGGAACAATAGAGAGGGAATGTTCTAGGCTGGGAAAACATTCATGCATTGAAAGTAATTTTTTTCAAATAATCTACAAAACAGTCCTACTTTTCAATGTTTTGAATGAATTGAATTCAATCAATTCATAAGACAGAACACCGTCATTTGAAACATTATATTATGTTTCTACAAAACAAAAAGGAATAGAATTTTTAAAAACTCATCAGTTTCATGGAATTTTACTGGAAAGGTAATTAATCCATTTTCTTAGTTAATATGCTGGATCTGTACAAAGCATTATACAGAGTAAGTATTATTAAAGTGTTTGTTTCTTTTATTTCATTTTATTTTTGAGACCGAGTCTTGCTCTGTCGCCCAGGCCAGAGTGCAGTGGTGCAATCTCTGCTCACTGCAACCTCGGCCTCCTGGGTTCAAGCAATTCTCCTGCCTCAGGCTCCCAAGTAGCTAGGATTACAGGGGCACACCACCCTGCCCAGCTAATTTTTGTATTCTTTTAGTAGAGACAGGGTTTCACCATGTTGGCCAGGCTGGTCTCTAACTCCTGACCTAGTGATCCGCCCTCCTTGGCCTCCCAAAGTGCTGGGATTACAGGTGTGAGCTACCGCACCTGGCCATTTGTTTCATTATTGAACATGCAATTTAATTGAAGCATAATAGATCCCTTTAAATATGTATTATTTTTCCTCTATTATGTTGATTGACTGCTCTAGGAGTAAGAAAAAATTTACCACATTCTAAGATGTCAGCAAGTGAAATTCCAACCTCGCAATTCTTAACAAGGAATTTTCATATTTGTGGGTGTAGCAGCCTGATTCAGAGACAAAGCCCACCTTCTGTATATGAGATGTTGGATGGACAGCCAATTGTAATGATTTAAGGACAATGAACAATTGGGACCAGTTATCTTCTTCTTGAGACTCTTTACTTCTGTGAGTTCCAGCTGATGGACTCCAGCCCAGGTCTATATTGCATTTGGCTGTGGTGGTATTTGGATTCGAATTTGAATGTCTCCATACTAGGCAAGCCCTCTCTACTTTGGCACAATACCTACCACTTTTTATTTTTTGTATATCCTGATCCAAACAATGATACTACCTACTGAATTATAAAAGCAGTCAATTTTGTACAGAAGATGCTTCCGATTTCAGAGCCCTCTGTTAAAAGTTTAAAGATAATTATATTTAGTTTGTCAAGTGTGCAGAAAATGTACAAGCTATCCTTGTACATTTTAGCTAATAAAAAGTCTTCTTGTAAAGGAATAGAATTTGGTTATAATAGCTGTCAAATTTTTAAAATTTGTACTTTGAAGCTGTAATTCTAATTCCAGAAACTTTTTTCTAAAAAATTACTCATACAGATCCAAAAACTTTTGTGTGCAAGAATATGTTTGGCTGCATCACCCAAAATAAAAAAACCTTGTAAACAATCTAGATGTGCATTTATACAACAGTGGTTATAGAAATCATGATATAGTCAGTATATATGTAACAATATCTCACACATCACATATATACTATATATGAATTCATGTATCATACGTATTAACATTTATGAATTTATATATTCACATATCATATGTATATGAATGACATGTGTACATAAAATAGATGAATAATGACTATACATACTGGCAGGGAAAGTGTTCAAGTCATACTGTTAAGTAAAAAAGCAAGTTGCAAATTGCTGCATATAGTATGAAACCATTTTAGAGAAAATAAAGTGTGTGTGCACATGTATGAAATTTATGTCTTAATGCATAACAATGCAATAATAAGTATTTTTAGGAAATTGAGATAACGATTTTCCACTCACAATTATAAAATAATGTATATAATTATGCATTTTATTATATATTTTTAACATGTATAATTCTAAGCTGCTTGAATTATAATGAGAAAAATTTGTTAGATCACTTATAATACAGTCAAAGAAGGGGAAAAGTTCTCCATTAAAATAAAAACAATCCTTGAGAAAATACAATATAATTCATTAATAAGCAAGTATTTTAACATGCTTCTTAGGCCCTACTCTTTGTGCCCTTGGCCTAAAACACTCTCCATAAATTATTATGAATGCCTGTTTCCCCAAATAGTTATTATCTGCTAATTCTTCAGCTCTCTCTCAGATACTATATTCTTATGAAAGTCTTCCCTAACCAACCCAGTCATATGTTCTCACAGAAATCATATTGTTCCATAGCACATGTGATGGTTAATACTGAGTGTCAAATTGATGAGACTGAAGGATGCAAACTATTAATCCTGGGTGTGTCTGTGAGGGTGCTGCCAAAGGAGATTAACATTTGAGTCAGTGGGCTGGGGAAGGCAGACCTACACTTAATCTGGATGGGCACCATCTAATCAACTGCCAGCGATTATAAAGCAGGCAGAAAATGTGAAAGCCTCCCAGCCTACATCTTTTTCCCATGCTGGATGCTTCCTACCCTTGAACATCAGACTCCAAGTTCTTCAGTTTTGGAACTTGGACTGGCTCTCCTTGCTCCTCAGCCTGCAGCAGGCCTATTGTGGGAACTTGTGATCGTGTGAGTTAATACTTAATAAACTCATTAAATACCTAAGAAACTCTTTTATTCCATTAATTCTGTCCTTCTGGAGAACTCTGACTAATACAGTACACATGATGGTTTATAATTATATACTTATATATTCATTTAGGAAATTATTTATTTTATATACAATTCCTAGACTAAGCTATGAGCTCCATGAGGTCAGATATCCTATCTGTTTTTCTCACTGTTAAATTACAGACACCTGAAACAGTGTCAGGTCATGATAGATACTCAAAATATATTTATTGAATGAAGAAATCATGAGTGAGTTTATTATTTAGTTGCATTTTTGAAAGTTCAGGATAAGTCTGTTTTTTTTTAAAAGTCACATACAATGGATAAGGGAAAAATAGGCCTTGAAAAAAAGGATGGAGAGGAAGCCTAACAATTTCAACTAGTTTACAATCTCACAGGCCTTGACAAGTTAACTCTTACAGCTAATTAAAATTACACCTGTGTATAGAGAGTAGGCATTCATTCATTTATTCATTCATTCAGTTTGTTCATTAATATTAATCTGCTAAGCTTTCATTCCCTTTATAAAGAGAAAGTCTTAGATTCAATGTGATGTTTCCTCTTTAATTCATAATCAGCTACCTAAGAATATTTTAAAAGGCCTCTTTTTTCAACTTTTAAAACCAAGCATTTCAGTTCTTATGAGCTTCATTCAAATTCTTGCCTTATTTTTTTCCCGCTAATAGCTCTACTCAATCCAAAGGTATTTTACTCAGTATATCTCAGATTTTATTTTCCCAGTTTCCTTCTTTTCATGCTGTTTATTTGAAGATTTTTTTAAAATTTTCAAACTGACTTTTTATTGCTATTTTTCTGGCCTCAGTTCTCTATTTGATGTTTTTAAAGAGTTGTGTCACTAGATAGTAGTTAAATACTTACCAATTTTTCTACTTAATCTCAGAAAACCTGCTGCCATTTTATAATAAATACAATACCATGCCACTCATGGAAGGTCAATGCATGAGTGTCGGGTAATGTCACTTGACTTCTTTGAGACAGGATCCCCCACTTACTCACACCACCCTCCCATTAAAAACTAACCGTACATCTGGAATGTTGGCCAGCTTTCCTTAATAGAGAGGATGTGGCCTAAGGGCCTTTATTCACAAAATTAGTTTGTGCCTGATGCTCTGAATTATGCTGTTTTAATAATTTGCTAGAAACATGATCAATAAGAAGTATTCATTTTCTGTTACCCTGTAGGTAAATTCTTTGCCAGTATTAATATTTTCTTTGACAGATTGCTGAACTCATAATGATGGTATTGCATACTTGCAAAGCTGTTTATGATCTGCAAAATAATTTCACATTTCACTGTGTCATAGCTTTTCACCTCTGATTCTAGTTAGATAATTCAATTATGTAAAATAGTCACTTGATGAGGGACTCCTGTTAAGCATTATACCAACACTTCAGACACTGTCAAAAGAAATATATGTAGTCTCTTCATTTGCAAATCATTGAAAGCTTGAAAGTGGTGTATTAGAAACAAAGACTGTTATAAAATTGTAGGATACCACAACTTCATGCAATTTAAAAAAACAGTGAGTTCCAACCATGATCAAAAAGGATGGATTTATATTTGTCTGGAAATTAAGAAAAATGGCTAAAGAAATGTCAATCTGACTGCCTTGCTTGTTGGCTGTAGCCCTTGCTATCTTGAATTATATTTGCGATTACTAAATATAATTCTTGCCTAATATCCTACTTCCACTTGAATATACTCTCTTGCTTGGACAATGATGTCAATTCTTAATATCTCTTTAATATTTCAATCCCAGCTTTCTCATTTGTCTCTTAATGCCCAGTGATGCATGATATGGCACAAGGTTGCAATACTGGTAATATTTTTTTCAGAAAATCATCCTTCCTTTATCATCTGTTGACACTTTTGTTGAGCCATTTAAATGTGCCCAGCATTCTGCTTGACTGCTAAGGTTATACAGTTGACACCCTTAAGGAGTTTACAGTAATTCAGTTTGCAATCTATACATAATTAATTAGACATTTTTCATCAATTAAAAACATACAAGAATTTTAAAAATATATAATATTCTTGCAGTCTTCATTGCATGAAAGAAACAAGTACTATCCCTTAAATTAGATATGCGTAACCTATGAAGATACCAGATTAGCCAGTTTACTAGGTGTGCAATAAATAAAATCCCAAAGTATCTATTCTTGATTGTGGAAAAAAGATCTGAAGATATAGAAAAGTAAAGTTTCTATGACAGAACACATCATAGACCAGCATTGGAAACACACTAAAAATAATATTAATCAATTGTCAGTCATAAGCTTGTCAGAAGCCTGACATAATTGTTCTTCCTCAGAGAGAAAAATGTGCAGAGACTTAGAGAAAAAAAATTCATTAGAATAATCTGTTCACCTTGATTGAAAGTTGATAAATGTATTTGGTAATTTCAAACAGATTGTGAATTTTAAAAATCTATGCTAGAACTCATTTTTATAAATTTGTAAAATTAGGAAGGAATTGAGGAGAAAACTCTTATCAAAAAATTGCAAATTGTGGCTTTATCCAGCCTGTCAATGTTAGACTGGATAAATTAAATGTAGTACATATACACTATGGAATACTATGCAGCCATAAAAAGGAACAAGATCATGCCCTTTGCAGGGACATGGATGGAGCTGGAACCCATTTTCCTCAGCAAACTAACTCAGGAACAGAAAACCAAATACCACATCTTCTCACTTATAAGTGGGAGATGAATAATGAGAACACATGGATACATTGAGGGGAGCAACACGCACTGGGGCCTGTGGAAGGGTGGAGCATTAAGAAGAATAGCTAATGGATGCTGGGCTTTATACCTAGGTGATGAGATGATCTGTGCAGCTAATCACAATGGCACATGTTTACCTATGTAACAAACCTGCACATCCTGCACATGTGCCCCTGAAATTAAAAGTTGGAAATCAAAAAAGGCCAATTTTTAAGATTCTAGGACAAAAAGAGGTTACTTATGTATTTAGATATTACAGATGCAATATTCTTCCTTGGGTTTTGTATATAGAAGCAATTTTTCTCCAGCAAAATTATACAAATGACCATTCTTCATAACTGAAAACAGTGAAAGTATCTTGTGGGCATCAGACCTTCCAGTGCAGAGGATGATTAAAGTTGAGATAATCAGTTAAGAAACATGCCATTTCCAGCTCCTTCTTCTTTCATTGAGGAGAGAAGGAGTGGGAGGAAGACTCCGGATTGATGAACAATTAATTTTAGTCTGTTAATTTTCTACAAGGAAAATGACTAAGATTCACTTTATGGAAATTTAAAATGCATGCAATTTGGACATCATACTGTAAAACATCACCAAGGAATATAGCTAAAGATTAGAAATGTTGCTGAAATGGAGCAGCCCTGAAATGATTTGGGAGAAGCTATTTTATTAAACTCTTTTCTAGCTTAATGAATTTCAGTCTCAGTACTTTCTAGTCCATGCTTTTTCAAACTGCTGTACATGGAGCATTCGTTTCTGAGTGATTTTAAAATGTATTGTGCAAGTAAAAAGAATTCTAGGAGAAATATATTGGAAACCTTTGGGTTATACAAAGTTAAATTCATTTCTTCAGGACCTTGTGACGTCTCTAATGTACTACATGTGTTCTGCCTTCTGAGAAAGAGATATAATGAACAATGTCTTTCAGACACATTTGACTGTAGTAAACTTTTCTTAAGATGACTGCTCCCAAATGCATGCATGAGAACAATTACTTTTAGTGAATGATATGAAACAACTGACTATATTTTTGCACTTTCACTCTTACTGTCACATTATTCCTAAAGGACAGATAGTTGTGCAAGAAGAATATTGAATCCAAACAGGTTGTTAGAAATCACGTAGTAGTGGCCAGTAGCAGTGGCTCACACCTGTAATCCCACCACTTTGGGAGGCCAAGGTGGGTGGATCACCTGAGGTCAGGAGTTTGAGACCAGCCTGGCCAACATAGTGAAACCCCATCTCTACTAAAAATACAAAAATTAGCCGGGCATGGTGGCGTGTGCCTGTAATCCCAGCTACTTGGGAGGCTGAGGCAGGAGAATCACTTGAACCTAGGAGGCGTAGGTTGCAGTGGGCCAAGATCACGCCACTGCACTCCAGCCTGGGTGACAGAGTAAGATGGCATCTCAAAAGAAAAAAAGGAGAAGAAGAAAAAAGAAATCATGTAGAAGTGAAAGTCAACACAGCTGCAAAGTTTAGAAAGATGTCTTCCAATATGAAAGAAAATATCTTCTTTAAGAAAAAATAATTTCAATACTAAACAAGTACTTACAAAAAATAGAGGAGAATAAAATACTTCCAAACTAATTTTTTAAGCCAGAATATTCCTTATACCAAACACTGGAAAGAGCATTACAAGAAGAGAAAATGAATACTAATGTCTCATAATAAATATTAGCAGTAAACTCGAACAATGTTCAATCATGACCAGATAGGGTTACTTATAAGAAAGTAGAGTTGGTTTAGTATTTAAAAATCAACCACGCAAATTCCCATATTAACAGAATAAAGATTAAAATAGTATATATAAATAGATGTGAAAAATTTTTTATTAAATTTAAAATCCATTCATAATTTTTACAGAGAACTTTCAAACTAGGAACACAATAAGACTTCCTTAATCTGATTTTTTCTTTTAATTTTTTTCTTTTAATTGAGACAGTCTTGCTCTGTTGCCCAGGCTAGAGTGCAGTGGCGCAAGTTCAGCTCACCACAACCTCTGTCTTCTGGGTGCAAGCGATTCTCATGTCTCAGCCTCCCAAGTATGCTGGGATTGGAGGTGTGCTCCACCTCACCTGGCTAATTTTTGTATTTTTAGCACAGATGGGTTTTCACCATGTTGACCTGATTGGTCTCAAACTCTTGGCCTCAAGCCGTCCACTTGCCTTGGCCTCCCATCGTGCCAGGATTACAGGTGTGAGCCTCCATGCCTGGCCCTTAATCTGATTTTTTAGAAAAGTTTAGGTCAGGTGTGATACCAGGCACCTGTAGTCCTAGCTACTTGAGAAGCTGAGGCAGGAGAATCCCTTGAGAGGCTGAGACAATATAATCACTTGAGGCAAGGAGGTCAAGCATTGATCACACCACTGCACTCCAACCTGGGTGAAAAAGGGTGAACCTGTCTCTATTTTTTTAAAGAAAAAGTCTACAAATAACGTACAGCTAACATTAGACTCTCTGCAAAAATTTTGAAATACCTCTAGGATCAAAAATAAGACAAGGATGTCCACTTTCAACACTTTTCATTCAATGAATTGCTGGAGGTCTTAGCCAATTCAATAAAGCAAAAAATAACAATAATAAAAAACACATATAAAAGTTCAAAATCAAAATTCCTGAAGGATTTCTAGTAGAAATATTTAAATTAATTATTAAATTTATATGAAAAGTGGGGCTGGGTGTGGTGATTCATGCCTGTAATCCCAACACTTTGGGAGTCTGAGGCCAGCAGATCGCTTGATGCCAGGAGTTCGGGACCAGCCTGGCCAACAGACGGGAAAAAACCCGTCTCTACTAAAAATATAAAAATTAGCCAGGTGTGGAGGCGCGTGCCTATAATTCCAGCTGCTCAGGAAGCTGAGGCAGGAGAATCGCTTGAACCCGGGAGGTGAAGGTTGCAGCGAGCCAAGATCACACCACCGCACTCCAGCCTGGGTGACAGAGTGAGATGCTGTCTCAAAAAAAAAAAAAAAGTATATATATGTGAAAAGCATATGACACAAAATAGTCAAACAATTTCAAGGAAAAAAACCAACTTGCAGGACTACAATTTCTAGATTTTAATATTTACTCTGAAGCCACAGTATACAATAGAGTATAGTACTAGCAAAATGATTCTATAAATCAATGATATTGGCAAAATTACATTTTTCATGCCTTAATAAAACAGGATGAAAGTTCAGAAATAGACTTACACACATATATAATCAATCATTAACAAAGGTTCCAAAGCAATTCAATGGATAAAGGATATCTTTTAAACAAATACTGCTACAACAATTGGACAATCATATGCAAAAAGAGAAACCTCAATTCATATCTCATGAGGTATAAAAAATGGAACATAGACCTAAACTGGTAAACCTATAGAAGAAACCACAGAAAAAAAATTGTGACCTGCAATAAGCTAAGTTTTGTTAGAGAGAACACAAAAAACTAGAACCATAAAATAAAAAATTATAAATTGGGCTTCATCAAAATTAAAAACTTTCACTCTTGAGAGAGGCATTATTAAGAAATAAAAAAGACAATCCCTAGACTAGGAAAAAATATTTGCAAGATGTATATCAGATATATGACTGTTAAATATATATATATATATATATAAGCAATTATCAAAATGTAATAAGAAGACATCTCCATAAATATATGGGGAAATAATTTTAACAGAAACCTCACAAAAGAAAACATATGAATAGCAATCAAGCACATGAAAAGATGTATAATGTCAGCATCAGTTGTCATTAAGTAAATATAAATGCAAATTAAAACCACATAAATATGCTGCCACATACTTATTAAAACTGAAAATACCAAGTACTGACAAAGATGTAGAGCAACTGGAATATTGCTGGGAGGAATGTAACGCAATTCAGCCATGAAAAATGGTTTGGTAGTTTCTTATTTTTTAAATTTTATTTTATTTTATTTTAAGTTCCTGGAGACATATGCAGGACATGCAGGTTTGTTACATAGGTAAATGTGTGCCATGGTGGTTTGCTGCACCTATCAACCCATCACCTAGGTATTAAGCCCCACATCCATTAACTCTTTATCCTGATGCTCTCCCTTCCGCAACTCCCCAACAGAGGCCCCAGTGTATGTTGGTCCCCTCCCTATGTCCGTGTGTTCTCACTGTTTAGCTCCCACTTATAAGTGAAAACATGCGGTGTTTCGTTTTCTGTTCCTGCGTTAGTTTGCTAAGCATAATGGCTTCCAGCTTCATCCATGTCCCCGCAAAGGGCATGATCTCATTCCTTTTTGTGACTGCATGGTATTCCGTGGTGTATATGTACCACATTTTCCTTATCCAGTCTATCATTGATGGGCATTTGGGTTGTTTCCATTTCTTTGCTATTGTGAATAGTGCTAAAATGAACATACGTGTGCAAGTATCTTTATAAGAAAATGATTTATATTCCTTTGGGTATATACCCAGTAAAGGGATTTCTGGGACAAATGGTACTTCTGCCTGTAGGTCTTTGAGGAATCGCCACATTGTCTTCCACAATGATTGAACTAATTTACACTCCCACCAATGGTGTAAAAGCATTTTTTTTTTCTTTTTTTTTTTTTTTTGAGGCTGAGTCCAGCTCTGTTGCCCAGGCTAGAGTGCAGTGGTGCGATCTCGGCTCACTGCAAGCTCCACCTCTGGGGTTCACGCCATTCTCCTGCCTCAGCCTCCCGAGTAGCTGGGACTACAGGGGCCCACCACCACGCCCAGCTAATTTTTTTAGTATTTTTAGTAGAGACGGGGTTTCACTGTGTTAGCCAGGATGGTCTTGATCTCCTGACCTCGTGATCTGCCTGCCTCCGCCTCCCAATGTGCTGGGATTACAGGCGTGAGCCACCGCGCACAGCCGTAAAAGCATTCTTATTTATCCTTAGCCATACCAGCATCTGTTCTTTCTTGACTTTTTAATAATCACCATTCTGGCTGGCATGAGATGGTATTTCATTGTGGTTTTGATTTTCATTTCTCTAATGATCAGTAATGTTGAGCATTTTATATATGTTTGTTGGCCACATAAGTGTTTTCTTTTGAGAAGTGTCTGCTCGTGTCCTTTGTCCATTTTTTAATGGGGTTGTTTATTTTCTCTTGTAAATTTGTTTAAGTCCCTTGTAGATTCTGAATATTAGACCTTTGTTAGATGGGTAGATTGCAAAATTTTTTTCCCATTCTGTAGGATGTCTGTTCACTCTGATGATAGCTTCTTTTGCTGTGCAGAAGCTCTTTAATTAGATCCCATTTGTCAATGTTTACTTTTTTTGCAACTGCTTTTGATATTTTCATCATGAAATCTTTCCCCATGCCTGTGTCCTGAATGGTATTGCCTATATTTTCTTCCAAGGTTTTTGTAGTTTTGGGTTTTATATTTAAGTCTTTAATCCATCCTGAATTAATTTTTGTATAAGGTGTAAGGAAGAGGTCAAGTTTCAATTTTCTGCCTATGGCTAGTCAATTTTCCAAGCACCATTTATTAAATAGAAAATTATTTCCCCATTGCTTGTTTTTGTCAGGTTTGTCAAAGATCAGACAATTGTAGATGTGCAGTCTTATTTCTGAGATCTCTATTCTGTTCCATTGGTCTATGTGTCTGCTTTTGTACCAGTACCATGCTGTTTTGGTTACTGTAGCCTTGTAGTATGGTTAGAAGTTGGGTAGCATGAAGCCTCCAACTTTCTTCTTTTTGCTTAGGATTGTGTTGGTTATACGGGCTCTTTTTTGGCTCCATTTGAATTTTAAAGTAGTTTTTTTCTAATTCTGTGAGGAATGTCAATGGAAGTTTAATGGAAATAGCATTGAATCTATAGATTACTTTGGGTGGCAAGGCCATTTTCACAGTATCGATTCTTCCTATCCATGAGGATGAATTGTTTTTCCGTTTGTGTCCTCTCTGATTTCCTTGAGCAGTGGTAGTTTCTTATAAAATCAAATTTGCACTCTTGATGCAATTCAGAAATTTCACCTTTCAGTATGTAACTAGGAGAAATAAAGACATGAACCTATACATGAATGTTTGGAGCAGCTTTACTTCTAATTCCTAAAAGCTGAAAATAACCAAAAGGTTCATTAGTTGATGAATGGATGAGCAAATTGATATGCATACCACATACCAGAATATTACTTAAGGATAAAAAAGAACAAACTATGAATATATGCAACAAAATTATGAATCTCAAAGATATTATCCTAATTGAAAAAATCAGTCTCTAAAGCTACATATTATGTGATTCCAGTTATATGGTGTTCTTGCAAAGACAAAACTATGAAGATAAAAATCAGATTAGTGGTTGCCAGACCTAAGAATGAAGGGACAGCGTTAAACAAGGGGTGACAGAAATGTTTCATTTTCTGGTGGTGGTGGTTAAATGACTGCATAGTCTGTCAAAATACATAAGACTGTTCACCTAAGAAGGGCGAGTCATTCCTTATTTGAATGATACCTCAATAAAGAAACAAAAAACGAAAGATCTGCCTTACTAGCCAAAGTGCCGGCATTAAATGGAAATTCTCATAAAGTGGGATTCTCATAACCAAAGCAGACTTATCTTTATGACGTTAAGGATAATTTTTAATGAATATGAGGAAAAGAAGGAAACTATAACAGTAAAGGCAGAATTAAAATTTTGTAGTGGAGACTATAAAGAACATAACTGATATGTTAGAAAATGAAATGTGCTATTTGGAAATCAAAATTTAGAAATTCTCACAGAATAATGAAAATGCACAGCTATGAAAAACATATGAAGGAGAGAGTGATACAGAAGACTGAAAATGTAGACTTAACCTTAGAAATATCATATTTCTGTGGAAGAAGAGAAATAAGGGTCAAAAATATGAAGAAACTTGTATATACAGATAGAATAGCATAAGTATGTATAAACAAAAGTGTTCACTGTGCTCCAGGAAGCTCATTGTACAACTACCCCAAACACAAATGTATACATAGTCTGGGGGAAAATATTGCTGCAAAGATAAAAAGGGAAAATTCTGCAAGGTTTAACTTAATTTTTTTAAAGCAATTTGAAAGTCCTTTGCAATCTTAAATGACAGATGATAATGACGAAACAGTACTGACTCGGATCATTTAAATGAAATAAAAAGATGGGTAAAAAATCTTCTAAATTTTGGTAATTTGGGTAATCTTACTCTTATCTGTCTTATACAGAAATGATTTTGTGTATAGTAAGAAGCCTATTTACCTTTTGAAATCTATCATATAAAATAATTAATTAGTATTGGCAAAGTCTAGAGGAGCTTTTGTTATTATTTGTATCATTAAACACGGTATTATGGGCTGAATTATCCTCTCCACCCCCGCCAAAATTCATATGATGAATTTCTAACCCCCCAGTACTTTAGAATGTGACTATATTTGGGAGAGGGTCTTCACAGAGGTAATTAAGTTAAAATGAGGTCATTAAGTTGGGCTCTAATCCAATTCAGTCAGTATCCTTAAAAGAAGAGGAGATTAGATATACAGGGGGAAGACCAAGTAAAGACACAGGGAGAAGACGATCATCAATAAAGCAAGGAGTGAGACTTCAGAAGATGTCAATCCTGCCAACACCTTGACCTTCGACTTCTGGTCTCCAGAACTATGATAAAATACATTTCTGCAGTTTAAGCCACCCCATTGTGGTACTTTGTTATGACAGCTCTAGCAAAAGAATACACATAGTAAGAGATTATGTTTGGACTGACAAATGAAATATGCTTTAAAATTTGTTTTCTGGTTTTGAGGAAGTAGCTTAAGCCAAAGAGAAACAAAGCCATGATTTGCTTTTTAGTTACAGTGTAGCCAAACATCATCTAATTGAGTTTTTGAATATGTGGCCTAAACTGGGAAAAGATTAAGCTTACTTATGAGTCAACATCCTTATTCTTTTGTATTTTGTTTGCATTCTTCTCTTGGCAAATAATGATATGCTTTTGCTTTTCAGAAAAGTGTACATGGATTTTGGGAGGTGGGAGGGTTAACTTTGCATATTGGGGCGTATTTATTACCTTCATATATGAAAGAAATAGTCCAAGTTCATTCTGGAGTTAGTGGTAAGAAAGAAAGCATTGCACAACATCCCAGATGTTTCTGCGACAGTTGGGAATTCCTAATGTGGCTCTGACTTCTATGTGGGAATCAAAGAGGTTTCAGTGACTTTCTTTGCTTGCTATTTCTAGTCTTCAAAGGCCCTTTGAGTTATGTACTATACAATAGAATATTCTCTTTGACATTAAAACTTTGATCCATCAGTATTTTCAACCAAAATATATTATACCCCCTCTGAGTACAGTGCAGAGAAACAAACAAACAAAAAAATAAATAAATAAAAGGACCAGATTCTGGCTTTCAAAGAAATTCCTAATCCAAACACAGAAAAGTCTGGCAGGATCCTTCATCAGTAAGGTAATGGCAAGCCAAAGAGAAACCCAAGCAAGGAAGAATGGAAACAGAGGAAGCAAGGAAGATCCTCTTCCATCTTCCACTACCAGAGAGAGAGAGAACAAGCCTAGTATCTCAGATCTTGCTCGTATGTTTCCTACCTATTCATGTTTAGCAGAACACAAACCAAACACCAAGAATGGAAAGAGGAATGTGAATCCTTTGTCCCCAGTGATACCCTCTGCTTTGTGCTGAACCTGCAAAAGAAATACACCGTGGAGCATCTGGGAAAACAGCACCGGAAACATTCAACTCCACCACAAGACCTTTGCACAGAATAAGACACCCTTCTCTCCAACCCACTCTCAATGAGAATCTCAGTGAATTCATTGAAAGTGAACACATAAAATGGGAAATTGACAATTCTGAACCATCATTCCACTTTATCCTCAATTGTTCCTCTAAACCACCTCCTTTCTTAACTTACCTGTGATGCATTTATGAAAATAATAATGACATATGCGGTTGAGAAAAAATTGATTTATTAACAATAAGACATGCTAGAGAAACATATGTAACCGTATTGTCTCAATGAATTATAGCATCACTAATTCTGAGAAAAAGATCATTTTGAATTGAGGAAAAGCTGATTTATATGATGCTTTAAAGAAAAGTATAATTATACTTAAGTTCATATAGCAGTTGGGACTAAGTAATATTGTTTATACAATACTTCTCAGTTTGTATAGATCTTTCAATAACCCTATTATGAAAGAATTATTGTATTCTCTCTTCACAGTTGACAAAACTAAGACTCAAAGACTAAATGACTTGCCCCAGGGTACTCACATAATAAATATTGTTCATATTTTTGAGACTATATTAAGAGTGGTCAAATGGAAGTTTTTCAGTGCCACTCAATTCTGAGAAGGGTAAATTAATACTCAGATTATAAAATATGTGTTTAAGACATATACATATATATAATGTTTTGAAATAGTCTGCCTAAAAGACATGAAAATTATTTTCTCTCAAGAATCTAAACTATGCTTTTCTAAGCGTGTATGTGTGATACTAATTTTCTTTTTAAAAAGTTTTTTTAATATACTATGAAAAACAAAACTTTGGCCCTGTTTCTGCCTGAATTAGTGTAGACTTTCAGCTAATTGAGTCAGTTAATGACTTTTTTTAAACTGTACATTAAAGAGGTAACATTCTGTTCACTGTGTTCTGTTTTAAGTGCCATAGTATTAAAAAGGGCAAGGGATTGGCAGAACGAAGTACAACCTCGTTCTATATTTAATTTTTTTTCTACAAGGGTCCAGCAATATAGCAGATGTTAAAAGTGACATTTATAGTTCAGGGAACCAAGTGATACACTGCTATCATAGGGAGTTACAGCCAAATCCAGGGAGGGGTTATAGAAAGAGAGAGTACATACTAAATTCTTCTGGGGTGCCTTGAAAAGGGAAACAGGTGGAGGAGCCAAGATGGCCGAATAGGAACAGCTCCGGTCTACAGCTCTCAGCGTGAGCGATGCAGAAGACGGGTGATTTCTGTATTTTCATCTGAGGTACCGGGTTCATCTCACTAGGGAGTGCCAGACAGTGGGCGCAGGTCAGTGGGTGAATGCACCGTGCGCGAGCCGAAGCAGGGCGAGGCATTGCCTCACTCAGGAAGTGCAAGGGGTCAGGGAGTTCCCTTTCCTAGTCAAAGAAAGTGGTGATGGATGGCACCTGGAAAATCGGGTTACTCCCACCCGAATACTGCGCTTTACCGACGGGCTTAAAAAATGGCGCACCAGGAGATTATATCCCGCAATGGCTCAGAGTGTCCTACACCCACGGAGTCTCGCTGATTGCTAGCACAGAAGTCTGAGATCAAACTGCAAGGCGGCAGCGAGGCTGGGGGAGGGGAGCCCGCCATTGCCCAGGCTTGCTTAGGTAAACAAAGCAGCCGGGAAGCTCAAACTGGGTGGAGCCCACCACAGCTCAAGGAGGCCTGCCTGCCTCTGTAGGCTCCACCTCTGGGGGCAGGGCACAGACAAACAAAAAGACAGCAGTAACCTCTGCAGACTTAAATGTCGCTGTCTGACAGCTTTGAAGAGAGCAGTGGTTCTCCCAGCACGCAGCTGGAGATCTGAGAACGGGCAGACTGCCTCCTCAAGTGGGTCCCTCACCCCTGACCCCCCAGCAGCCTAACTGGGAGGCACCCCCCAGCAGGGGCACACTGACACCTCACACAGCCTGGTACTCCAACAGACCTGCAGCTGAGGGTCCTGTCTGTTAGAAGGAAAACTAACAAACAGAAAGGACATCCACACCAAAAACCCATCTGTACATCACCATCATCAAAGACCAAAAGTAGATAAAACCACAAAGATGGGGAAAAAACAGAGCAGAAAAACTGGAAACTCTAAAAAGCAGAGCGCCTCTCCTCCTCCAAAGGAACGCAGTTCCTCACCAGCAATGGAACAAAGCTGGATGGAGAATGACTTCGACGAGCTGAGAGAAGAAGGCTTCAGATGATCAAATTGCTCCGAGCTACGAAGGACATTCAAACCAAAGGCAAAGAAGTTGAAAACTTTGAAAAAAATTTAGAAGAATGTATAACTAGAATAACCAATACAGAGAAGTCCTTAAAGGAGCTGATGGAGCTGAAAACCAAGGCTTGAGAACTACGTGAAGAATGCAGAAGCCTCAGGAGCCCATGCGATCAACTGGAAGAAAGGGTATCAGCGATGGAAGATGAAATGAATGAAATGAAGCAAGAAGGGAAGTTTAGAGAAAAAAGAATAAAAAGAAATGAGCAAAGCCTCCAAGAAATATGGGACTATGTGAAAAGACCAAATCTACGTCTGATTGGTGTACCTGAAAGTGACGGGGAGAATGGAACCAAGTTGGAAAACACTCTGCAGGATATTATCCAGGAGAATTTCCCCAATCTAGCAAGGCAGGCCAACATTCAGATTCAGGAAATACAGAGAACGCCACAAAGATACTCCTCGAGAAGAGCAACTCCAAGACACATACTTGTCAGATTCACCAAAGTTGAAATGAAGGAAAAAATGTTAAGGGCAGCCAGAGAGAAAGGTCGGGTTACCCTCAAATGGAAGCCCATCAGACTAACAGCTGATCTCTCAGCAGAAACTCTACAAGCCAGAAGAGAGTGGGGGCCAATATTCAACATTCTTAAAGAAAAGAATTTTCAACCCAGAATTTCATATCCAGCCAAACTAAGCTTCATAAGTGAAGGAGAAATAAAATACTTTACAGACAAGCAAATGCTGAGAGATTTTGTCACCACCAGGCCTGACCTAAAAGAGCTCCTGAAGGAAGCGCTAAACATGGAAAGGAACAACTGTTACCAGCCACTGCCAAATCATGCCAAAATGTAAAGACCATCAAGACTAGGAAGAAACTGCATCAACTATCCAGCAAAATAACCAGCTAACATCATAATGACAGGATCAAATTCACACATAACAATATTAACTTTAAATGTAAATGGACTAAATGCTCCAATTAAAAGACACAGACTGGCAAATTGGATAAAGAGTCAAGACCCATCAGTGTGCTGTATTCAGGAAACCCATCTCATGTGCAGAGACACACATAGGCTCAAAATAAAAGGATGGAGGAAGATCTACCAAGCAAATGGAAAACAAAAAAAGTCAGGTGTTGCAATCCTAGTCTCTGATAAAACAGACTTTAAACCAACAAAGATCAAAAGAGACAAAGAAGCCCATTACTTAATGGTAAAGGGATCAATTCAACAAGAAGAGCTAACTGTCCTAAATATATATGCTCCCAATACAGGAGCACCCAGATTCATAAAGCAAGTCCTTAGTGACCTACAAAGAGACTTAGACTCCCACACATTAATAATCGGAGACTTTAACACCCCACTGTCAACATTAGACAGATCAACGAGACAGAAAGTCAACGAGGATACCCAGGAATTGAACTCAGCTCTGCACCAAGCAGACCTAATAGACATCTACAGAATTCTCCACCCCAAATCAACAGAATATACATTTTTTTCAGCACCACATCACACCTATTCCAAAACTGACCACATACTTGGAAGTAAAGCTCTCCTCAGCAAATGTAAAAGAACAGAAATTATCACAAACTATCTCTCAGACCACAGTGCAATCAAACTAGAACTCAGGATTAAGAATCTCACTCAAAATCGCTCAACTACATGGAAACAGAACAACCTGCTCCTGAATGACTACTGGGTACATAACGAAATGAAGGCAGAAATAAAGATGTTCTTTGAAACCAACGAGAACAAAGACACATACCAGAATCTCTGGGACACATTCAAAGCAGTGTGTAGAGGGAAATTTATAGCACTAAATGCCCACAAGAGAAAGCAGGAAAGATCCAAAATTGACACCCTAACATCACAATTAAAAGAACTAGAAAAGCAAGAGCAAACACATTCAAAAGCTAGCAGAAGGCAAGAAATAACTAAAATCAGAGCAGAACTGAAGGAAATAGAGACACAAAAAACCCTTCAAAAAATTATAAATCCAGGAGCTGGTTTTTTGAAAGGATCAACAAAATTGTTAAATCGCTAGCAAGACTACTAAAGAAAAAAAGAGAGAAGAATCAAATAGACGCAATAAAAAATGATAAAGGGGATATCACCACCGATCCCACAGAAATACAAACTACCATCAGAGAATACTATAAACACCTCTACGCAAATAAACTAGAAAATCTAGAAGAAATGGATAAATTCCTCGACACATACACTCTCCCAAGACTAAACCAGGAAGAAGTTGAATCTCTGAATAGACCGATAACAGGATCTGAAATTGTGGCAATAATCAATAGCTTACCAACCAAAAAGAGTCCAGGACCAGATGGATTCACAGCTGAATTCTACCAGAGGTACAAGGAGGAATTGGTACCATTCCTTCTGAAACTATTCCAATCAATAGAAAAAGAGGGAATCCTCCCTAACTCATTTTATGAGGCCAGCATTGTCCTGATACCAAAACCTGGCAGAGACACAACCAAAAAAGAGAATTTTAGACCAATATCCTTGATGAACATTGATGCAAAAATCCTCAATAAAATACTGGCAAACCGAATCCAGCAGCACATCAAAAAGCTTATCCACCATGATCAAGTGGGCTTCATCCCTGGGATGCAAGGCTGGTTCAATATATGCAAATCAATAAATGTAATCCAGCATATAAACAGAACCAAAGACAAAAACCACATGATTATCTCAATAGATGCAGAAAAGGCCTTTGACAAAATTCAACAACGCTTCATGCTAAAAACTCTCAATAAATTAGGTATTGATGGGACACATTTCAAAATAATAAGAGCTATCTATGACAAACTTACAGCCAATATCATACTGAATGGGCAGAAACTGGAAGCATTCCCTTTGAAAACTGGCACAAGGCAGGGATGCCCTCTCTCACCACTCCTATTCAACATACTGTTGGAAATTCTGGCCAGGGCAATTAGGCAGGAGAAGGAAATAAAGGGTATTCAATTAGGAAAAGAGGAAGTCAAATTGTCCATGTTTGCAGATGACATGATTGTATATCTAGAAAACCCCATTGTCTCAGCCCAAAATCTCCTTAAGCTGATAAGCAACTTCAGCAAAGTCTCAGGATACAAAATCAATGTGCAAAAATCACAAGCATTCGTATACACCAACAACAGACAAACAGAGAGCCAAATCATGAGTGAACTCCCATTCACAATTGCTTCAAAGAGAATAAAATACCTAGGAATCCAACTTACAAGGGATGTGAAGGACCTCTTCAAGGAGAACTACAAACCACTGCTCAAGGAAATAAAAGAGGATACAAACAAATGGAAGAACATTCCATGCTCATGGGTAGGAAGAATCAATATCGTGAAAATGGCCATACTGCCCAAGGTAATTTACAGATTCAATGCCATCCCCATCAAGCTACCAATGACTTTCTTCACAGAATTGGAAAAAACTACTTTAAAATTCATATGGAACCAAAAAAGAGCCCACATCGCCAAGTCAATCCTAAGCCAAAAGAACAAAGCTGGAGGCATCACACCACCTGACTTCAAACTTTACTACAAGGCTACAGTAACCAAAACAGCATGGTACTGGTACCAAAACAGAGAGATAGATCAATGGAACAGAACAGAGCCCTCAGAAATAACGCCGCATATCTACAACTATCTAATCTTTGACAAACCTGAGAAAAACAAGCAATGGGGAAAAGATTCCCTATTTAATAAATGGTGCTGGGAAAACTGACTAGCCATATGTAGAAAGCTGAAACTGGATCCCTTCCTTACACCTTATACAAAAATCATTTCAAGATGGATTAAGACTTAAACATTAGACCTAAAACCATAAAAACCCTAGAAGAAAACCTAGGCATTACCATTCAGGACATAGGCATGGGCAAGGACTTCATGTCTAAAACACCAAAAGCAATGGCAACAAAAGCCAAAATTGACAAATGGGATCTAATTAAACTAAAGAGCTTCTGCACAGCAAAAGAAACTACCATCAGAGTGAACAGGCAACCTACAGAATGGGAGAAAATTTTCACAACCTACTCATCTGACAAAGGGCTAATATCCAGAATCTACAATGAACTCAAACAAATTTACAAGAAAAAAACAAACAACCCCATCAAAAAGTGGGCAAAGGACATGAACAGACACTTCTCAAAAGAAGACATATATGCAGCCAAAAAACACATGAAAAAATGCTCACCATCACTGGCCATCAGAGAAATGCAAATCAAAACTACAATGAGATACCATCTCACACCAGTTAGAATGGCAATCATTAAAAAGTCAGGAAACAACAGGTGCTGGAGAGGATGTGGAGAAATAGGAACACTTTTACACTGTTGGTGGGACTGTAAGCTAGTTCAACCATTGTGGAAGTCAGTGTGGCGATTCCTCAGGGATCTAGAACTAGAAATACCATTTGACCCAGCCATCCCATTACTGGGTATATACCCAAAGGACTATAAATCATGCTGCTATAAAGACACATACACATGTATGTTTACTGCGGCACTATTCACAATAGCAAAGACTTGGAACCAACCCAAATGTCCAAGAATGATAGACTGGATTAAGAAAATGTTGTACATATACACCATGGAATACTATGCAGCCATAAAAAATGATGAGTTCATGTCCTTTGTAGGGACATGGATGAAATTGGAAATCATCATTCTCAGTAAACTATCGCAAGAACAAAAAACCAAACACCGCATATTCTCACTCATAGGTGGGAATTGAACAATGAGAACACATGGACACAGGAAGGGGAACATCACACTCTAGGGACTGTTGTGGGGTGGGGGGAGGGGGGAGGGATAGCAATGGGTGATATACCTAATGCTAGATGACGAGTTAGTGGGTGCAGCGCACCATCATGGCACATGTATACATATGTAACTAACCTGCACATTGTGCACATGTACCCTAAAACTTAAAGTATAATAATAATAAAAAAAAAAAAGAAAAAGGAAACAGAAGCACAAAATGGGATGCAAAAAAAATAGTTTAAAATTGAAAGCAATTCATAGTCTATTTTGAGGAAACAAGCAAAGTCACAAAAAGTAATATTTAATGTGAACCCATTTATTTACAAATGCATCACATATAGACATAGATATGACATATCTATGTAAATACAGCAGAGAAAAATATCAATACTACAAGATGTCAACAATGCTTAGAGTATGATTTTCTTTTGTCTTTTTGATTATCTGTAATTTCTGAAGCTTATAAATACATATAACTTTTGAAATGTTTAAGTTTATGTTTAGATAATTTTGGATAGTCTAATGAAACATGACACATGTATATAGGCTTGCACTGTGTGTGTAACTCCAGTAACACACTTCACATTACACTAGTCAACACTTGTCATCTGTCTTCTTCACTAAACTCTGAGCTCCTTGAGATCAGGACAGGGTCTTGTACTTCCAGATACTAAATTCCTAAAAAAGGAAAAAGAATGAAATTAATGTATATGTATATTATCAAACTAAATTCCTATAACAACATCGTAATCATTATCATCTCCATTTTACAGATGAAAAAATTAAAGTTTAGAGATATTAAGTAACTTAGCTAATGTTCTTCCATTAAGAACTGATAAGAGCTTAGATTCAGACACACATCTGCCTGAGCCCAAACTGATATTAGTCTTAAGTGTTGATGTGAGTTAAATGGAAGAAAGGAAGCAAGAAGTGCGAGCCATGCAGACCTAGGAAATGTTTAAAGTTTGAATGTAAAGCAAATGAATAGAATATAAAATAAAATATACATTAAGCAATTACTTAAAATATGTATATAAAATACACATAAATGATCTAGAATGTTCTCCCTCACTGGTACATCCCTCACTGGTTCAATTAAGAAAGTTGTAGAAGAGATTTCTGCCCTGAGAGGAGATGCTGTTAGGTGATACCATGGCCTATCCAACTTGTTTCTCCTCCAATATTTTATTAGGATCAGTCTCCCAATTTTTTTAATGACGGCCTCAGGTGATTTTAGGAACAAACTTGTTTATTTCCTTTGGCATGTTCTTCATTTGGTGGCAATGCATCCTGGGGTCACATAAATAAAAACAGCAATTAGAGGAAGTTTAGCAGCAGTGAAAGGACAAATGAAAAACAAGAGAAAGGCTCTTTGTTGCAATGCATCAGCAAAATTCAGTCCCACAGGTTTCGTGGAGTGTTTTTTAATAATTGAAAGTTATGCCAAAAGTAGTGTCTCTGGGACTTTATATTTAACTATTATGATACCTTTAATTAAAGAAGATATACCCATAGGTAAATGCTTAGGGCATACTAAGAAAATAGGACAGGCTCAGGTTATCTAAAAGTGTAGAAGATGTAGTTGATTTCCTCTCTGAGGTTCATATTTAGAATAAGCTTGATAAAACCAGTGACCAAATAAGTTAAGAATATAGATGTAAATGAGAGAGATCTAACAAGGAGTGCAATTTAGAGCTACCAGCTACCTACCTTGTCCAAGTAACACATTCTTTTTTTTTTTTTTTTTTTTTTTTTTTGAGATGGAGTCTCACTCTGTCGCCCAGGCTGGAGTTCAGTGGCACGATCTCGGCTCACTGCAACCTCCGCCTTCTGGGTTCAAACGATTCTCCTGCCTCAGCTTCCTGAGTAGCTGGGACTACAGGCGCACACCACCATGCCCAGCTACATTTTTTTGTATTTTTAGTAGAGACAGGGTTTCACCATGTTGGCCAGAATGGTTTTGATCTCCTGACCTTGTGATCCACCCACCTCAGCCTCTCAAAGTGCTGGGATTACAGGCATGAGACACCATGCCCAGCCCACACATTCTGAATTTGTCCCTGACTATAGGGTAAATCCTAAGGCATGAAGGTTGGGCTAAAAAATGGAAAATTCAGGTTGTTCATTCTTTGAATGTTTCTCAGGCACATGACCAAAGAAAGTTGCTCCATTCAGAAACTGGAACTTGATTTTTCTCCTAGATTATGAGTCACATGGACACTAATATTAGAAGTAATACATAGAGTATTTAATAAATAAAAATGTAATTATGTAATAACTGTAAAGTTTTGACATTCCAGAATGATATGGTTTGGCTGTGTCCCCACTCAAATCTCATCTTGAATTGTAGCTCCCATAATCCACATGTGTTGTAGGAGGGATCTGATGAGAGGTAATTGAATCATGGGGGCAGGTTTTTCCTGTGCTGTTCTCTTAATAGTGAATAAGTCTCATGAGATCTGATGGTTTTATAAAGAGCAGATCCCCCGCACATGCTCTTGCCTGCCACCATGTGAGACATGTCTTTGCTCCTCCTTTGCCTTCTGCCATGATTGTGAGGCTTCCCCAGCAAGGTCAAATTATGAGTCCATTAAACCTCTTTTTCTTTATAAACTTCCCAGTTCGGGTATTTCTTCATAGCAGTATGAAAATGGACTAATACACAGAATAAAACAAATATCTTGGATTCTTATAATGTAAATTTGTAGAAAATAGAAAATCTTTTTACCTATTTTATTTTTTACTTAATCTCTCAATTCTTATTTAGAACCTTAAAGCTTATAATCCTTATAAGTAGCACAAAATAAATACAGTCATGCACCACATAACCACATTTTGATTAAGGACATTTTGGTCAATGATAGAACACATATACAATGATGTTCCCATAAGATTATAAGACCATTGTTTTCCTATACCTTCTGTATGTTTAGATAGTTTAGATACACAAACACTTACCATTGTGTTACAATTGCCAACAGTATTCAATACAGCACTATGCTGTACAGGTTTGCAGCCTAGGACCAATAGATTAGACCATATAGCCTAGGTTTGTGGTAGGCTGTACTATCTAGGTTTGTGTAAGTGCACTCCATGATGATCACACAATGGCAAAATCACCTAACAATGTATTTCTTAGGTATTCCTGTTGTTATGCAATGCATGACTGTATGTCTGACAGAACTTTGTCATTATCAAGTTCGAAAAATTCTGGCAGAATGAGACAAAGAAAGACAATCTTTTCCTGAGAAGTGTTTTTGGGAAATCATAATAAAGGATTAACTACATTGATATTCCAGATACTGTTCAGGGCTCCAGATATACAAAGATAAATAAATAGCTCCTGATCACAAAGAATGCATTGTCTGTGAGGAATGTGGACCCATAAATAGATAATTATAATATTATGAATAATATTATGAAGTAGGTGCACTAATGGAGACCTGCACATGTGCTATGTGTGCACCAAGGAGTGACCCCTAACTTAGACTGTCGCATAATGAAAGGGCTTCCTAAGTATCTATTTGAGCTGAGATCAAGAATATGTGTAGGTATTAACCTGACATAAGGGTAAGGATAGTGTAGAGTAGAGCAGGGAAGGACATAACTGGCAGAAGGGGCAATACAGGCAAGAGTAACTCACTGAGAAAGCACAGTGGGAAACTCTAAAAAGCTCTAAATTGCTAGATTATACATTATAAAGCAGAGACTTAAGTGATATGGGTCTACTCAAATGCCCATCAATGAGTAGAAAAAGAAAATATGATGTGATATATATATATGTATTAGAATACTACTCAGCCATAAAAAGGAGTAAAATAACGGCATTCGCAGCAAGCTGAATGGAGTTGGAGACTATTATTCCAAGTAAAGTAATTCAGGAATGAAAAACCAAACATCATGTTCTCACTCATACATGGGAGCCAAGCTGTGAGGATGCAAAGGCATACAAATGATATAAAACATCGGACTTTGAGGACTAGGAGGAAGGGTGGGAGGATGGTGAGGGATAAAAGACTACAGATTGGGTACAATGTATACTGCTTGGGTGATGGGTGCACCAAAATCTCAGAAATCACCACTAAAGAACTTATTCATGTAACCAAACACTACATGTTCCCCAAAAACCTATTGAAATAAAAAATTAAAAATTTAAGCAGACAATAAAACAAAATAAAGAGATATGGGACTACAGAGTTAGGTAGAGAACAGATAATAGAAAAGAATATTTACCACATAAAAAATTTATCCTTGAGGAGTTATTGAAGGATTTAAAGCAATCACATGGTATCATCACACCCAAATTTGAAATGGATCACTTTGGTGGTCACTTGGAAAGTGTATGTGCAGAGTAAGGGCTGTGGCTTGAATGGGAAACATAGGGAGAAAGGACATTTTTTTTAAAGTGAAAAAAGAAGAACTCACACAAAAGTGTAAAGGAAATAGGCAAAGAAGTGTCAATAGAAGCAACAGACTGTTGTGTTATGATTGTCAAAGAAGTGAAATGTCCTTTTGAGAAGTCAAAAGAGAACAAAAGCAGCAAATGAACAAGATCAATCCAAGAAGACAATTCCTGAAAGATATCTGATAGAATTATATTTAGGAAATCATTAATGCCTTTAATCTTTACTAAGAGCAGTTTCCTTTTAGCAGTAAGAGCAAGAAACTAGAGTGTCATGGTTCATGGAGAAAAAGAGGGATAAGGAACAGCTAGTGATAGAATGAACATTTAGAGAAGTTGGTGTAAGAAGGGGAGAATTATTGGATGACAGAGAATGGATCTCTCAGCAAGGGCATGGATGAAGGCGAGTGAAGCAAGCCAGTCAAGAGAGAAAGATTAAGATACAGAAAATAGAGAGAAGACAATGGCTCAGGGGAAGTGTAAGAAGATGAGATCTTAAAAGTAGAAGAGTTGAAGGGGCAACCAAGCCTCCAGAAATAGGATTAAGGAGCCACACATTTATATCATCAATGTGAAAGTAAGAATTTGAGTAAAGTAAAATAAGGCTTAGAGCCCCATGTTTGTTTGTTTGTTTGTTTGTTTGTTTGAGGTGAAGTCTCACTCTTGTCCCCCAGCTGGAGTACAATGACGTGATCTCAGCTCACTGCAACCTCCACCTCCCGGGTTCAAGCGATTCTCCTGCCATAGCCTCCCAAGTAGCTGGGATTACAGGCACCTGCCACCATGCCTGGCTAATTTTTGTATTTTTAATGGAGACGGGGTTTCACCATGTTGGCCAGGCTGGTCTTGAACTCCTGACCTCAGGTAATCTGCCTGCCTCGGCCTCCCAAAGTGCTGGGATTATAGGCGGGAGCCACTGTGCCCAGCCTAGAGCCCCAATTTCTTAATGAAGAGGTGACACAAGTATAAGGATTGGCCTGATGCCAAAAGACAACTTTGGTTTGTTTGTATTGTCTATTCTTTATAGAACAAAATATTAGACTGGTACAATACATTTATGTTAACAATTTCAAACAGCATCTGGATAATCAGTCTCTTACCGCTAATCTAACCACAACTTACATCCTAAGTGTCTGAATATGCAACTTCTCTTCTCTGGGGAAACATGCTCATCAAATTCAATACAAATTCGTGCCTTCATCACTGGATCTTTGTGAATGCCCAGCACACCTGTGCAGTCATCTTCTGTATTAAAGCTTGACATGCTGTCAGTAAGTCTTGTGACAAAGGGGAATGTCAGGTTTTCCCTCCTCGAGGGTACTGTTAGAAAGAACAGCTTGTTCTTATTTAATTAGCATTGATTTTCTTGAAACTGGCTATTACCCTTAAGTCTCAATTTTTTTTAATTCCTTGAGATGAAATAACACTTCATTTGTTAAGTCTTATAAAAGCAGCATTCTTTCTAATGTCTTTGGCTAATTGAAGATTTTGCTACTTGTTTATATCTCATTTCTTTTGTGTTTAGGTCTGAGCATTTTTCTCATTATCAGAAATCTTTAATGTATGATATCAATTCATAATGGAGACAAAAGTGTGGTATTAATAAAATCTAGAGTTCCTCAAACCAGTGAATCCATATATCACGTCATACTCATCCTCTATCTTTTTTTTTCTAATAATGATTATATCACATTACACCAACCACCACCATACATACCACCATGGAAATGAATGAATTAAACACATGATAAAATGTGCCACTTCTAATCTGAACATTCTTTTTCCATGGATGCACCAACCTCTCACTGCTCTGTTTGGAGCCCAGTGCTGTATATACCAACTGCTACATTCAAAAGACAGTCCAACTAAACCTCACTTCACAGTGGCACAGGGTTAGTCTTTGAGGAGTCATTGAGAAGCCTGAAAGATTATTTGATTTTGGATGCTTTATTAAGAAATCTAGTAATAAGCAATGTTCACATACCTTTCCTACCCCAAAATTATGTCTTTTGGAAGATGTGTATACTCATTTGAGATCTATTTTTCTGTGTTCCAGGCACTGCCCTAAAGGATTTGAAATATTCATGCAATCTATCTTCACAACAGCCCTGTGTTATATTTATTAGTCACATTTTCAAGAAAAACAAACTAAAAAGGTTTAGAAATTTATGTAAATATCCATTACTAATTAGTGGCAAAGGAAGACCCTCGGAGTCCAGATAACCAGCTAACTAAAGAAAGAGCCAAACATAAAACTCAAGTTCCTGGCCGGTAGTCTTGTGTCACCACAGTAGGCAACCACAGTGGGCAAAAATAAACATCCAATTCCCTAATAGACTTATAAATTTGAAATCTCTAAAGAGCATTTGTGGCATTGATTGATACTGACATTTTCAATACTGAGGCTGCACTATCTTTCTTCTCTGGAGACTGAATGCTCTGAAGTTTGAAAATGATCAACCACAGAGTGTCTGGGGAACCTGAGTGATTATGCCCAAAACTGTGCTGTTCCAAGATCTCTCGGTGATAAGCGTTCATGCCCACTCTGCTGACAAATATAAATTCTTCCCCTTTTCGGGGTTTTCACTTCCAGAATATTTTCAATCACCTCACCTGCGGACCACTTATTCCCCAGCAGCATTGGCTGTGGCTTATGGTACCTTCCCTCCAAGAGTCCTCCGTGTGTTTTTCTCATAGAATCAGAGTTGCAGTTCCTCTGCACCAATATCTGCTGTTGCTCTGCTGATCTCAGGTCACTGAATACATTGCTTACTGACCTCCTCAGAGCCTGGTCATTTCCCTACCAATGGTCTTCAGCTATTGATACCTGTTCCTATCTCTTGTTTCCTCTCTCTTTCTTTCTCTCTCCAGCCATAGAAAACTTCACAGCAGAGCTTGTGGACTCCTGAATAAATCAGCTTTTTATTCCGATTTGCCGCTCCCATGGGCAAGGGGAAGTGATGTACGAAGTACGATAGGTGCTAGGATGTTCTAACGCAGTCATACCAGTCTCTACAGAAGCTATGCCTCATATGCCAGGTGCCATTTTCAATTATAGTGGCTTTTATGGTGATTTTTTTTCTCATTTACCTTATAATTTGTTTTTGCATTCTAACTACATTTGAGCCCCTTATCACTTAGGAACATTTCACATATGAAATAAATAATTACATAAATAAGTGTGACAGCCTTCATCAGTCAAACAAAAAAGGTGATTTAATTGCTCCTGTCAGATATCTGACTTCAGGCACCAGCTTTATCTGGAATTCCAAAAACATCTTCTGGAATTTACCACTCGATTCTCCTTCCGCAGATTTGACCCATTCTAGGGTTCTACCTTATGTCTCCACCCAGCAACTCCGGGGTCTTCCCCTCTAGCTGCAGCAGTTCTACGTTGCTTCTCTCAATATCAGAAGAATCTCATCTTCATCATTTCAAATAAAATTTTTTAGACTTACATTGATTGGACTCTTTTAAATCAATTACTCATCCGTAGCCAATTAGTGTAACTATGGAGAGGGCTATCCTGATTTGTTTAAACCAATCAGAATCCATTCCTGAAACTGTAAGTTTGAGGACCAGGGCCAGGGGCTAAGGAGTTTTTCCCCAAAGAAACCTGGAATATTACTACCAAGAAACACAAGAAAAATGAATGGCAAACAACAAAGTGTCAACTGCAGAGTCCCAACTGTCCTTAGGCAAATTGTACCTGTCAAACCCCACTCCTAATAGAAAGCATTGCCTAACTCAGTACATCAACTAATGGAGTCTTGGCTTCAGCCCTGTAACCACTCTTTGTTGCAATTCTAATTTTAAAATGTAGGTGTGAAACTTGTCCTTCTTTTAGTTGTCCATGATAGCCACATGTATATATTTCAGTCTGAGGTCAGTTAAATTCCTATATCCTTGATACCGACACTATTCTAGGTTACCACTATTAACTGCTTATCTGAAAGTTTGTATTTAGCGGTGATGAGACACTTTTCTATTTTATAACCAATACTTTAAAATTTGTAAACACAAGTGCATCTGGCCTAGAAAGAAATGAGGTTTCGAAATTCATGTATACATATATTCCCTGGACCTATCAGTGCCTCAAAGATCAAACTAATACTACCAGGGACACAGGGCATTGTGCCAGAGCATTAAAATAGTGAATCATGGTCGGTCCTTCCACTCTCACTCTTGGCACCATAAAAATCCCTCATACAAAAGAATGATTGGCATGAACAACACAGAGGGTTTTCTCTGAATATTTCATAAATTATCCATCAAATCTCCAGATCAAGTCTGATAAACTTATTTGATAGCAACTGAACATTACATCTGAGTATAATATTTCCTCACCTCAGCCTGCTCACATTTCATCTCTGTTCATCAGCTTCAATTCATAAATTCATAAATCTCACATAAGACTAAATTAGTTTAGGTGTGCCCTAAATTACCAACAAGTGTCTCCCAATAACATACTCATCTGAATCCAATATCAAAGAAGTTGCATGTTTCCTACTCAATTTATCAAATAGTATATCACACAACATCCTTAGTTCTATTTACATAAAATCTCAGCCAACATTTTAAATCTTATATAATTACAAAGAAAACAAAATGGTATAGTGGAGAGAAGAAGTTTTAGCATCAGATAGACCTGAGTCTTCCGAATACAAAGTCTGTATTTTGCATGCTGGGGTGAGAAAGTTTTTCAACTTATCCCAGTTTCTATAACTACAAAATGGTGATAATTAAAACATACCTCTTTAAGTGGTTGTGAGTATTAAATGGGGTCACAAACAAAACAGACCTAACCACATGTTCAATGAATGTGGGTTCCCTTACAGTCCCCTCAGATGGGTACCTGCTGTCCTCTACATCAACAATGATTAGTCATGTTGATAGTGTGTACCCTTGATTTTATTTGATGAAAATGGCCTTCAGCTCTGGTGCTGCTCCCCAAAATATGTAACCTCAGTTTAATCATGAGGAAAACATCAGACAAATCTCAGTTGAGGAACATTCTAAAAGATATCTGTATAGTAGTCCTCAAAGGTGTCAAGCTCATCAAAAATAAGGAAAGTCCAAGAAAATCTCATAGCCAAAAGGAGCCTAAAGAGACAAGGGCATTATGTAAAAAAACCAAAGGAAATGTGAATAGAATACAGATTTTAGTTAATAATTATGTATCAATATTGGTCCATTAATTGTAAAAAATGTACCATACTAATGTAAGGTGTTAACAATAGGGGAAATAGGAGAACTCTCTGTACCATCATTTCAATTTTCCTATAAATCTAAGACATAAAATAAAAATTGTACTTAAAATGTCCTTTGCAGCACATGGATGCAGCCATTATCCTCAGTGAATTAATTCAGGAACAGACCAAATATCTAATGCTCTCACTTGTATGTGGGAGCTAAGCATTGAGCACACATGGACGTAAAGAGGGAACAACAGACACTGAGGCCTTTGATGAGGGAGGGTTGGATGAGGGTGAGGATCAAAAAACGACCTAACTGGTATTTTGATGGCTACCTGGGTGACAAAATCATTTGTACACCAAACCCCAGTGACATGCAATTTACCCATGTGACAAACCTTTACATGTACCACCTCAACCTAAAATAAAAGTTGAAAAAAAATTATAAATAAATAAGAAAACTGCAAGTTTAAAACAAGGGATTAAGCAATTCCTCTGGAGTCACCTCCGTTCTCAACCATATTGCTTCTTCTTTCTTCCTTTTTCTTTCTCCGAACTTAAGTGCTCAGAGTATTGCACTTTAGAAGATACAGGATTAAAATATGAGTTTCTTACGGCCCATGGACAAGAATCCATGGAGGAAGGGCATGCTAAATTCACACAAAAGAAGAGGCAGGGTGTCCATTAGGGAGGATCCGTATTCAGTAAAGCTCTAAATAGCTACTATAACAAGTGCCAGGTACTGAAATAGGTACTTGACATACGTTATCTTGTTATGTTTGTTCTTCCAGTACATATATTGATATAGATATTGTTATCATAATTTGCAGATGAGGTTTAGTTTATCATGATCCCACAGCTAGCAGGAATCAGAGTTAAGCTCCGTACTCCAAATTCTAGAGTCTTAAACCCTGTTTATACTGCCCCCCGAAATCACAGTGAAATGATAAATTTGTTCTCAGTGGACTTCCACTTCCGTTTTTATATATGTCTCTGTCTTTAGGTGTCTAGCAAGAACTGATGCCTCCTAAGCCACAAAGCCATGCCTCCTATTTTCTTCAGAAAAATGTGAGTGGGAGAGTATGAAAAGGAGAAAGGGAAAGGGGAACTTAAAATAACTAAAATTCGCTGAGCAGCTACTGTACACCAAGACACTTACTAGATACTTTACCTACTTTAATTAATTAAGCCTTCACGATCTCTTTCTTTATGAGAAATTAATGTCTATTTTTAGGCACATGGTTAGTGCTTTTACCATAGCTGTCATGAAGGGAAATTTTTTTTTTTATAGATTCAGGAGGTACATGTGCACTTTTGTTACATGAATATATTGAGTAGCAGTGAGGTCTGATTTATTGATGCAACCATCACCCAATAGTGTACATTGTATCTATTAAGTAATTTCCCATTCCTCACCCACTTCCCACCTGCCCACATTCCAAGTCTCCAGTATCTATTATTCCACTCTGCATGTTTGTGTGTACACACTATTTAGCTCCCATTTATAAAGTGAGAACATGTGGTATTTGACTGTATGTTTCTGAGTTATTTCACTTAAGATAATGGCTTCCAGTTCCATCTGTATTGCTGCGAAGATGTGATTTCATTCTTTTTTATGGTTGAGTAGCATTCTATCATATATATAAAATATTTATATATTTATATTATATATATATTCAGCACTAAATACTGAAATATGTAGTATTCCATGATATACATAGTGTATCACTATACATATAGTGTGTGTATACACACTCATCCCCGACATTTTCTCTATCTAGTCATCTGTTAATGGACATTTAGGTTAATTTCATATCTTTGATATTGTAAATAGGGCTGTGATAAGCATATCAGTGTATGAGTGTAGATATCTTTTTAATATAATGATTTCTTTCCTTTGGGTAGATACCCAGTAGTGGGATTGCTGGATTGAATGGTAGTTCTGGTTTTAGTTTTTTAAGAAACCTCTATACTGTTTTTGATAGAAGTTGTACTAATTTACTTTCACACCAACAGTGAACAAGAAATAATAGTATTTCTTGACTTTCTAATAATAGCCATCCTAACTGGTTTAAGATAATATCACATTGTGGTTTTAATTTGCATTTCTCTGGTGATCAGTGATGTTGGCTATTTTTTCACATGCTTATTGACCATTTTTATGTATTCTTTAGAAAATTTCTATTCAAGTGTTTTGTCCACTTTTTAATGGGGTTATTTGTTTTTTTCTTGTTGACTTATTTGAGTTCCCTGTAGATTCTGGATATTAGTCCTTTGTCAGATGCATAGTTTGCAAATATTTTCTCTCATCATATTGGTTTTTTGTTCACTCTGTTGATTATTTCTTTTGCTCTGCAGAAGCTTTATGGTTTAAGTCCTACTTGTCTATGTTTGTTTTTGTTGCATTTGCTTTTGAGGTCTTAGTCATGAATTCTTTGCCTAGGCCAGAAGAGTTTTTCTGAGGTTTTCTTCTAGGAATTCTATAGTTTCAGTTTCCACATTTAAGTCTATAATCCATCCTAATGGGATTAAATGGAGTTGATTTTTTTAATATGGTGAGAAACATGGGTCCCACTTTTATTCTTCTGCATATAGCTGTCCAATTTTCCCAGTACCATTTATTGAAGAGGCTGTCCCTTCCCTAGTGTAAGTTTGTGTCAATTTTGCTGAAGATTAGTTGGCCATAGGTGTAAGTCTTTATTTCTGGGTTCTCTATTCTATTCCATTGATTTATGTGTTTATCCTTGTACCAATACCATGCTGTTTTGGTTACTATAGCCTTGTAGTATAATTTGAAGTCAGATACTGTGGTGCCTCCAGCTTTGTTCTTTTTACTTAGAATTGCTTTGGTTATTTGGGCTCTTTTTTGATTCTATAAGAATTGTAGCTTTTTCTTTCTAATTCTGTGAAAAATGATACTGGTGTTTTGATAGGAATTGCATTGAATCTGTAGATTATTTTGGGCAGTATGGTCATTTTAATGATATTGCCTCTTCTAATTCATGAGCATGGGTTATTTTCCCATTTGTTTGTGTCATCTATAATTTTTTAATCTATGTTTTATAGTTTTTCTTGTAGAGATATTTCACTTCATTAGTCATTTAGTTATGTATCATCTATCTCTCATCCATACACCAAGGAAACCCTATGTTATAGGTGCCAATAATGATGTCTAAAATAAATTAGATAAAACAAAAGTGTTTCAAATTAAGTGGAGAAAACCTGACTACAGTTTTACATGTTACTTTTCCCAGGAATATTTGCACTTTAAAAGAGCATAACTAAAACATATAGGTACTATGAACAAGTCTAGAGATCTAATGTACAACATGAGGATTATGGTTAATAAAATTGTATTGGGGATTTTTGTTAAATATGTAGATTTTAACTGTTCTTGTCATAAAAAAGTAACCATATGAGATGATGTATATGTTAATCTGCTTCACTATGGTAATCATTTTACTATCTACATTTATCCCATAATATCATGTTGTAAGCCTCAAATATACATGACAAAATTTATTTTTAAAATAATAAAAATGCTTTAAAAGATAAAACATTAAACAGCATCACTGGAGAGCTATTCCTGAAATCCCAAAAAATGGTTCTTACTGGTGGTGTTAGAATCACTAATGATAAGCTAATGAAGTTTCACAGAGTTCAAAGACCTTAAAATCTCATTTCATAAATACACTCCTCCTATTAGCCTAAACATGAACTTGGATCTGTTTGCAAAAAATTTTCAATAACCTTAAAAGGGTTTGCACAGTCTCCCACTTCGCTATTCTGTGCCTCAGGATGTGACAATGCTTATAAATCCCACAATTTGTCCTCAGAGGGTGTCTTGATCAACATCTCTCTGCTGCCACTGGCACACTCCTGGCTCAGTCATGACCCCATTCCCCTATTCCAGCTTGTTGACTAAATCCTCATCTGATGTCTCTCCACAAAAATTCAGAAGCATTTTCTCAGATAAATATTTATTCAATCATTTTAAATTAATTTCCAAGAAAAATGTGGGATTTAATTTAAAATGTAAGAGTACATTTCTCTTGCATTTCCCCTGTAATCAAAGAGTGAGATCATCCACTTGCATAGCACACTTGGAGACAGGCTGAATGTTGAGTAACATTATCCTGTCACAAATAGAGTAACGTGTTCAATTATCAGTGATGCCTCGCCCTCAATAGAGTGTAAGCTGAAGGGTAACCAGGAGAGATCCTCGGTTCCAGGGCTGGTAGTTTTGTGACCTAAACTCAAAAGCTAATTCTGCTTGGCACAGTGTAGAGTTTCCTGCTCCCTCCCTGCTGCTCTAGAAAGGCAGGGCTGTGTTAAATCATGGTGCTTAAGGTAATCAATTCACAAGCATGGATGAGCACCTCAATTCTGAGGAGCTCTCACTGTGCTGGAAGAGCTAGGGTTAGGCACTTAACCTCCTTCTGACTCAGCTTCCAAATTCCATGCAGGGATTTGTGAGGCCTTTACACTTGCTTTGCCAGTACACTTGTGTGTATGTGTCAAGAGTTGAAGGATGGTATGAACAGGAAGAATTAACACAGAAGCATGAGAACGGAGTAGGGCGAAAAGTGACTTCTGACTTTCCTGAGCTGGGTTGTTACCATGTTCACCCAGCAGAAGGCACTGGCTTTAAGAAGAAAAATAGAGAAGAAGGCTCTTCAGCACTTAAAATATATCACACCAAAAATCACCAAACGTGCTCCCAGTGGCATCTGTAACTTAGGTAGTAAACCTCTCACCTTGCCTACATTGTTAGCCCAAAGACACCAAAGAGGCTGCACATCAAAGTGAAAATGCAAAGCTGGGAATGATTCAATTTACTTTATAAAATAAAAAATCCTGCTGCCCTTTCATGAAATTATACTGTGTGCTTATAAATATGAATGTAAATGTATAACATAAAACATGAATGTTTGTATGGAATATTGTAATGAACATTTGTCATTTTTGGATGTCTAGCAAATAACCATTTTTCCTGTTTGAGAAGAAACCTAAATCCTAAAGTAAAGGTGAGATTCAGGCTCCATTTCTTACTACCTAAAAAACAAGAAAGACTGTGTTCTTCAGCCCTTTGGCAGCTAGCAGTGGGTATCAGGCATAGAATCAACCAATAGATGCCCCAACTGAGATTTTGAACATTGGAACCTTCAAACCTTGAGAGAATGATACAAGTTTAGAGAAAATTAAGACTTTAATAAAATACCAACAGAATCAGCCACAATATATAAAAAAATTTTACACCATGACCAAGTAGTTTAAATTTGAAAATAAGTGTAGTACATCATATCAGTAGAATAAAGGACAAAATCCACATGATCATCTAACTAGATTCAGGAAAAAAAAGCATTTTACAAAATCTAAAATTCCTTCATGACAAAACACTCAATAAACTAGGAATAGTATACAACTTTCTCAATCTGATAAATAACACCTATAAAAACTAAGCTAACATCATACTTATGGAGAAAGACTGAATGCTTTTCCCTAAGACTAGGAAGAAGACAAAAGTGTTTATTCTTGCCACTTTTATTCAACATTGTATTGGCGGTCCTAGCCAGGATAAGTTGCAAGATAATGAAAGGTAACCAGATTGAAAAGGAATGACTAAAATTATCTCCATTTTCAAGTATCATTATCTTGCATATAGAGAATCTAGAAAAAATCACTAAAAAATTAATTTGAACGAATACATTCATTCAGCATGTTTATGGACTACAAGAAAATAAATTTTATTTCGATACACTAGCAATGAACAATCTGAAAATGAAATTAAGAAAATAATTGACTTACAATAACATCAGAAAGAATTAAACACTGAGGAATAAATTTAATGTAAGGGCAAAATATATACCTTAAAAACTACAGAAATATTGTTGAAATAAATAAAGAAAAAATTAGTGTTTACTCAGAGCAGCTATGATAAAGTTGAGACTCAAGCAATAGCAGAGGGTCTAAGGATAAGATGATGGTGGCAATAGGGACTGATGTCCTGGAAACCACATCCAGTAACAATGGAGCCAGCAGCAGCATCAGCAAACTTCACAGGGTGAAATTTTGGCTGTGACATCATTCCAAATTTTGGTCCACCTCCATGTCTACCTCTTCAGCCATCCCTTAAGTTCAGAAAACTATGTATTGTCCTGTCAATAAATTCCATTTAGTCAGAGTTGTTTGCTTTGTTTTTTGTAACCCAGACCCAGACTTCTATAGGTATCACTGCTCAGTTTTCTCCTGCTTCTAACGACTTGGCTTATTTCCATTTTGTTAGAAAAGGAAAAGTTCTTATAATTTCCAAAAAATATTTTTATCAATTTATACGTACCCATTGGTTTCCAAATGTTTAACTCATTTCCACAATAACCTTATAATTTAGTATAACTTTGTAAAGTACATATTATGAACCCTATTTTAATATGTGAGAAAACTCAAGTTAAAAGAAGTTACATGATTCCTTAAAAGGAGGTAGACTCCAGATGGAAATCCAGATCTACTGAGTATAGATCCCAGGCAATATCTACTGTAGTAAGCTGTTTCCTTGATTTTCTGGCCTCAAAGCACAGAAAGCATATTAGATTGCCTCTTCCTAAGGAGAATGACATCTCCCAAAGTTTTATTTTCTTTTGTTTTTGTTTTTCAGCTGTTTGTTTGTTTTTATAGTAAGAACACTTAATATATGGTTTGCAAATATTTTCCTTTTGAACCTGAGATCTACCCTCCTAACATTTTGAAATACATAATACAACATTGTTAGCTATAGGGACTATGTCATATGGCATATCTTTATAATCTGCTTATCTGACGTAAGAGAAACTTTATACTAATGGAACAACTCCCCATTTCCTCCACCCCTCTGGTCTGGGAAACCACTATTATATTCTCTACCTCTATGAGTTTAACTATTATAGACATCACACATAAGCGGGATCATGCAATATTTGTCCGTCTGTGAGTGGCCTATTTCCCTTAACATAGTGTGCTCCAGGTTTATTATGTTGTGCAAATGGCAGGATTTTCTTCTTTTTTAATAGTGAATAATATCTTATTGTATGTATATACCACATTTTTAAAATCCATTCATCTGTCTATGGACACTTGTGTTGCTTTTTTATCTTGGCTATTTTGAAGAACACTGCAAGGAACATGGGAGTGCAGATATATCATGGTGAACCTGATTTCAGTTTTTTTGGATATATATCCAGAAGTAGGATTCTTGATTTATTTATATAATAGTTCTATTTTTAACTGTTTTGAGGAAACTCCACACTGTTTTTTGTAGCTGATGCACCATTTTACATTCTCACCAACAATGTGCAAGAGTTCCAATTTCTTCACATCCTCACTAACACTTATCTTTTGTTTATATATATATATATATATATATATATATATATATATATATATATATATAAAAGGCATTCTAACAGGCATGAATAATATCTCATTATAATTTTATATTAATTGCTCTAATGATCAATAATGTTGAGCATCTCATATACCTATTGGCTGTTTATATGTCAATAGGAGAAATTTCTGTTCCAGTCCTTGCCTATTTTTTTAATTCTTTTGTGTTTATAATCCTTGCCTATCATTTAGATAGATTATAATATAATATATATATATATATGGCATTTAGTGACAGGAGTTCCCTACATTTCCTTACATATTTTGGAAATTAACCCCTTATCTGATATATTGTTCACAGATATTTTCCTTTTGATTTCCTTGTAGCTATCACAGTTTTTCTGAAAATCCAGGAGTGCCGTCATGTACTTCCGATGCTGACCTCTCCTGGCCATTTGTGGTATAGCAGCTCCTTCAACGTAGCACACAATATTGAGGCAGCTGTCATCTGTTCACTGTTACAGATGAGCTGAAATGACCAGAGGCGCCTGAGAGGCTAACACTGCTAGGATGCACGGCCAATAATTCTAAATTCCCTTTACACAACTCTTGCCGTTATCCAAATCCAAGTTTGTAATAGGTGGGGACTCCTAAGAGCTCTCTCACCACTCAGCCTGAGGCAACAGATTCCTCTGTTGTGGATACCTCTAGACTCAGGGATTTTCCAAACTCGGTTTCCATCATTGATTCGAATTCTCTCATTCTCATCTGTGTTTCCTGGTTTCACACCTTTCTTTGCCTAATTTAACAATGTGCCTCGCTTTGATAATTGTGTCTCCACACTAGATAATAAGGATATTAAATTTGGTAGCAATATCAATTCAGAGAGAAGAAAAGCTGAACCCTTTCACATCTGAAATTCCATCTTTCACTTTAGGGAACTTTTAAAGTAAGGAGCTCTGTCCTAATATCTGAAATGATAATCCAGCTGCAGTTGAAAACAAAGCCTTCATTTTGGTCGGGTACCATGGACAATAACGACACTACTAAGAAATTTCATGGGTCATAAATTTTTTTAAGCCACTGACAACCAGCCCAGTCCAATTACTTGATAGGTGCATTTGTCAGTCATTCAAGCTCTATTTCCTCTTCATACTAAGAGTTAACTGCTGGATAGGATATAATCAGAAAGCACAGCTTTAACATGAAGATTATCCAACGTATTTGTACCATTTATATTATGGTTGTAGCCTGATAAACCATTTTAGATGGATTACTTGGGTGACACAGATTCTTTTTTTTTTTTTTTTTTTTTGACAGAGTCTTGCTCTGTCGCCCAGGCTGGAGTGCAGTGGTGCTATCTCAGCTCACTGCAACCTCAGCCTCCCGGGTTCACACCATTCTCCTGCCTCAGCCTCCCGAGTAGCTGGGACTACAGGCACCTGCCACCACGCCCAGCTAATTTTTTGTATTTTTAGCAGAGACGGAGTTTCACCATGTTAGCCAGGATGGTCTCGATCTTCTGACCTCGTGATCCTCCCACCTTGGCCTCCCAAAGTGCTGAGATTACAGGCGTGAGCCACCGCGCCCGGCCGACACAGGTTCTTAATAATAGGCTTGGAATTTTTCCAAGGGAAATTTCCTTAAAAAGCATACATATGATTTTGAGCATTTCTGAGTATAAATGTGGTCAATCCTATTGAAATTAAATTATAATATAGGCCATTAAATAATGTAATTTGATACATTGACCTCAGACATGAGAAAGAGAAATGAGGGAGACATTAGCACAATGATGGGAGTATGAGAGCTATTTACCCAAGAGGTTATGAAGCTTTGCATTGTTACCAGTCGCAGAGTCACAGTTAGAAGCTGTCCTCCATCACAGTTTTCATTTGTGTTGACTCTTTTCATCTTGCCTATAGTATTTCTGCTTTCAATTTAAGTCTTGTTTATTTCAGGCCTTGCGTCTGTGGCATCCTGATAATGACACGGTCATATAATCTTAACAATCAATGTGTCTATGTTTTCTTGGAGTGTAATTTCTTTGCCTTTGCAAGGAGTTGATGAATATTAGTACCCATTTTACAAAAACATGAGAAGAAAATAAGTACAATTATAATCAAACAGGGAGTACTTAAGAATCTAACCTTGGCCTTGACACTGTGAAGGATATAATAGAAGTAGAATCCTTTGGGGTACAAGGAACAGAATATGCAGCTTAAAAGTGGTTTAATTGATAAGAACAGTTATTTTCTTCTATAACAAAAGTTCTGGAGGCGAAGTAGTTTCAGGGTGTAGGTAGTAGTTCAACAACAGAACAAGAGCCCATGTTCCTTATACCTTTCCACTCTGCCACACATAGATAACTGGCACTCATTTTTGGCTTTTCTCTTGGGGTGGCAAGATTACCATCATGGTCCCGGGCAACCACAGCAAGACAGAAAACAGAAAATTTTATTTTCATGCATTTAAAAAAAACAGGAAGCAAAATTTATCCCAGAAATCACACAGCGGGTTTCCACTCAGGACTCCTTGGCCAAAATTGAGTCCACTGCCCAGGTTCTAGCTGCAAGTGATACAGGAGAAAGAATATTAGACATATTTAGCCCCTACTGTGGGACCAATATTCTGCTGGCAAAGAAGTACAAAGGACCATGTAGGGTGCAGACAGCTGGTAGATGATTAGTAGGCAAAATCTGCCACACAGTAAAAGGTATATTTTACTCTCAAGAGGCATACAATTTACTATTACTAATAACACCATGTTGTATGATAATTGACAATTCATAAAGCACTTTCAAATAAATTATCTGACTTAATCTTTACATTACCTTGCAAAGTAAATTACCCTTTTCATATTTTTTAACAAGAAAAGTTAATATTGGTAACGAAAAAGACTAGCAATGTAGCACAAATGAAGCTTTCTTCAACTTTGTAAGTCTAGTAGTATACAAATTTAGAAATCACAGACATCAATTAGAACTAGAGTGGACATTTAAGACTGGAGACTGAGTCAAGAAAACCACGTGCTACACAGCAGAATCACCACCAAAAATTAGCTTATCATCGAGGAGGACATTAGCAAACAAGAAAAAATTAGCACCAAATGAGCACCTAAACTCAAAGACAGGGGCTATAAATGCAAGATCAGCCAAGAAGTTTAGTCCCACAGAATTTATTGGGCACATACTTTGTGCAAGAGTTAGCCTGTGGAGAAAGTCAGGCTAAATTAGACTTAGTCTTTGCCCTCAAAGAGCACAGTCTAATACAACACCAATTAATAAATGCTCTAATAGGAATATGAATCCCAGTATTCCATGGGCACATGGAGAAAGATGGAAAAATACAGGCAGATTTTTGAGAGGAGGTGGCATGTCACTTAACAGTAAAGAAAGGATTGAGATGAGGAGAGAGTGCATTACAGGCGGAGGCAAACATATTAGCAAAAGCAGTAATATTGAGTGTGTGTTTAGAAGGGTAAAGAAGGGAGCCTAACAGAGCAGGTAGAATGTTGGGATAGGTGGGAATCGATGAGTGAGAAAGGATGAAGAATGGCATCTGAAGTGCAAGTGTTTGAGAAGTGTCCATTCATGCCCTTTGCCCATTTTTTAACGGGGCTGTTTTTTACTTGTCAATTTAAGTTCCTTATAGATTCTGGACATTAGACCTTTGTTGGGTACATAGTTTGCAAATAATTTTTCCCATTCTTTAGGTTACTCTGTCGATAGTTTCTTTTGCTGTGCAGAAGCTTTTCAGTTTAATTAGGTCCCATTGGTCAATTTTTGCTTTTGTTGCAATTGATTTTGGAGCCCTCATCATAAAATCTTTGCCTGGACTGACATCCAGAATAGTATTTCCTAGGTTTTCTTCTAGGGTATTTATAGTTTTAGGTTTCACATTTCAGTCTTTAATCCATCTTGAGATTATTTTTGTATGTTGCAAAAAGTAGGGGTCCAGTTTCAGTCTTCTGCATATGACTAGCCAACAGGCATATGAAAAAAATGCTCATTATCACTAATCACTAGAGAAATGCAAATCAAAACCATGATGAGTCATCATCTCGCCCTAATCAGAATGGCCATTATTAAAAAGTCAAAAAATAGCAGATGTTGGCTAGGTTGCAGAGAAAAGAGAATGCTTATACACTGCTGATGAGGATGTAAATTAATTCAGCCAATGTGGAAAGCAGTCTAGAGGTTTCTTAAAGAACTTAAAATAGAACTACAATTTATTTGACACAGCAACGTCATTATTGGGTATATACCCAAAGCAATATGAATTGTTCTACCATAAAGACACATGCACACATATATATTCATCACAGCACTATTCACAATAGCAAAGACTCAACCTAGATGCCCATCAGTGGTAGGCTGGATAAAGAAAATATAATACATATACACCACAGAATACTATGCAGCCATGAAAAATAATGAGATGATGGCCTTTACAGCAACATGGATGGAGCTGGAAGCCATTATTGTATGTGAATTAATGGAGGAGCAGAAAACCAAATACCACATGTTCTCACTTATAAGTAGGAGCTAAACATTGTGTACAGATAGACACAAAGAAGGAAACAATAAACATTGGCACCTACTTGAGGGTGGAGGGTGGGAGGATGGTGAGGATTGAAAAACTGCCTATTAGTTATTTTCTCATTACCTGAGTGACAAAATTATCTGTACACAAAATCCCCACTACATGCAATTTACCCATGTAGCAAACCTGCACATGAACCCCTTGAACCTAAAAAAAAAAAAAAAAAAAACTTTTTTAAAAGAAAGACCTTTATAATGGACCGCTTTCACTTAATGAATAGTAAATGTGTTTTCTTTTCTTTATGGAAAAAAATAAGTAAAGTGCAAGTATAAGCAAAACAAGGAGGCAAGGAGGCCGGCATGTGACAGGGAGCTTGGATGGCATTGTGAATGCCTGAGGGCCACATGGAGGAGCTGTGGGAATGAGGCTGAATGGGCCTTAAGGGGCCAGGTAATGGGGGAAAGAGGAGATCCACATATAAGTAAGTGAGCATTCGTAAGACACAGTAGTTCTGAGTGGAGAAATGTCATGATCAAAGTATCATCCAAAAATAATGAACCTGGCTGAAAGATGCAGCTTGTGCTGGGAAGGGTGAGTCCAGATGTGAGAGGCCATGGCAATGGTCACTATGACACAATGCCTAAGAGCAAAGATGGTAAAAGGACTGGAAATTGGGTAGATGTGTGCCTCTGATAAATATGTCAGAAGAAAAAAAAAAGACAAAATCAGATGACAAAAGAAATATGGGGGATTAAAGAAAAATGAAAGAAATTTCCAAATATTCTAGCCTGACATACTAAAACAATGTTGATGTTGCTAAGAGAAATGAGAGCAGTGAGATAAATAATTTGTTTGGAAGGTAAAATAATGTCTGGTTTGAGATACAGTGATTTTTTGGAACTGGTAATTTGAAATGGAAATTGGAATCCAAAGTGGAAATTTTGGATAGGCTCTTACATTAATATTAATGGAGTAAGATTAGAACTAGAATTTTGGAGTGTTAGCCATAAGAAATCAGACTTGAAAAATAGCAAATATGACATTGATCTTGCAGGAGAGTAGAATATTAGGAATGTCAGTGTGGAGGTGCTGGTAGATGTTTTAGACAAAGATCAACTCACTAAAATAAGAGCGAGATTATCAGTAGGAATTCCAAAAATGCAGCTATCTAAAAGCAAAAATTAGTCAGAGTGTTTAATATTTCACAGGTTCCTGAACTTCTCCCCCTTATCCCTTTCCTCCAAGCCACCTCCTGTAAAAGGCCTTTTCTGGCCAATCTAATGTTTTTGTCTCCACACCCTCATCCCAGTGCCACCTATTAACATTATGTCTGCTGTCTGCCACATTGGACTATAAAACTGCTTTGGTCAACATTTAGTACAACTTAGTGCTATAAAATTGACACATAACATATTCATTAAACACATACAGGAAGAATGAGAGAGTAGAAAGAGGAAGGAACAAAGGGTGAGAAGGAGAGAGAGAGGGAGGGAGGAAAGAAGGAACGAAGGAAAATTACATAAAACTATTGTATATGTGCTATGTCTAATTGGTTACACATCTGTTATGTGTTAATGCATAACATATGGTATATAAATATTTGGTGAGTAATTGAATAAAGAAACCAGAGAAATGAAGAATAAATTACAACAAAATAGATACATGTTATATAACATTTTACTAAACTCAGAAGTAATACATCAAATAATAGCCATATTTTCTGAGGCTGCAATAAAAAGTAAATGAATGAAAAACTGTTTTTCATTTTTACCTTATCTCAAAATCAGTGTCACAATACCTCTGTTTTTCTCAATGAGAAAAATCATAGTGCCATGCCCTCCATCCGATCTTCAAACCACTAAGAAGTTTTCAATGATTTTGAAAAGTGAACATTTTCCACAGTGTCACCATCCTAGCTTCTTGTGCACGTGTCATCATAAACTTAAGTTAGTAATATTCTTGAAAGTAAGTTGCCCAGACATCCAACCAAGTCCTATGGATGAAGAAGGTGGGGGAAATTCCACAGAACAAAACACACGAAAGAGGCAGACAAATAGAGACATTTGCATGTATGAAACATTTGCATGTATCATACCTAACTTTCCTGAGAGCTGATACCCGTGACTGGGACTCAGCTGGCCTTCAGTCAATTCTGTCATTTTACTTAGAAAATGAGCCTCTCTTCTTGTGTTTACCTTCTGAATGATGCACTCTGACTCTGGAGCTTTGGTCTCGCTTACAAAGTAAAAATTCCAGCACATGGTCAAAATATCCCAAGTAAATCATCCTGGTGTTTTGCAAAATTCTTGACCAAATATCGGGAAGACTAGATCATTTCCTTTTGTCAGTCTTATTTGTTCATTTATTCATTCATTTATTTTTACTGATTCTTTCTATGAGGCAGGCAGTGAAAGTTACAGAACTCTAAAAGCTAAATGCCGTATCAAAGGGTGTTTCCAAACAATCCCTTTTTGTTTCCAACTCAAGGTAATGTCAAGGAATAATCATATGTTACTTGCACTGGTTTTTCAGGCCTCCATAGGTGAGATTTTTCTTTCAGCTCAAAGGTCTGGGTAGCAGAGACTATCTACCTTAGCAGAGAAATGGACACAGATAAAGCCACCTGAGGAAAAACTCCAAGGATGTGGCCTGTCACTGCTCAGCCCACTCACTCTTCCATAAAAATATGATGATGCTGACACACTATTACAACTTTTCCTTTCAAATTTGGGACACCAAGAAGAGGCTTCTTTTATTCTTTAATAGAAAAATGAATATTAATGCTGAAAAGTACTAAACCGACAATTTCAGTTCTAGGAATGAATTTGAATAAACATTCATATAGGTGCATACCTTGATATAACCCAAATGCTCATCAATAGGAGAATGATTACATAACTGTAGTTCTGAAATATAAAGAATGTGCAAAGAATGGGGTAGATTAATACACACTGACCTAGGACATATTAAATTTTTATAATACAATTTCTAGAACTACACATATAGAATTATGCCATTAAGATAAAACAATTTCAAAACATTTTGAAGTATGTGTTAATGATGCACGTATAACATTTTATGGTGAATATATCTAGAGACTGGGATGAAGGAGGGTTTTCACATTTGTTCTATATACTTTCATATTTTTTCACATCATAGAAAGTGTGTAATCATCTGTCACCTGTATAATTTGAAAGACAAATTCTCTGTCTATATATAAGTGGTGGCATATGGGACTGACCCACAAGGGACATGTTCAGGAGTCAGGCTTGTTGGAACTCAGGTGAACCTGAAACAGAAGAGGGAGATGAAAGGGAAGCAAGGGAGGAGAATTTATTAGGCTGGACAGATGACACTGAAGTGAATTCTAGCACCAGTGTGTGCAGAAACTTGATTTTGTCCTGTTTAACCCTGCAAGCTGAATAAGAGCAGCTGAGAGTCTAATCATTTCTTCACCACAACTTGGCTATAAAACTTTGAGGAAGTCATTTCACCTTCTCAGTGTCAGTTTTTCCATCTGTTAGAAGAGGAAAGTGTAGAACATCAACTATGGAGAAAGATCACATAGTAAAGTTGAATTCATGGGAGCTGTGCTAGTCACATTTAAGGTCATTGACTTTATCTAATTTAGTAGCACCCAATCCACATTACCCTGAAAAAACAACTAGAACTTCCTCCTTTCTAAAATTGTTCATAGTATCCTGGCCTTTCACAGTGCTTTCATCAGTTTCTTGTGTCTCCTCTTCCCCTATCTCCTGAGGGACTACTACCAATTCCATTTAGGCAACTGAATCAGTGAATAAATGCTTTATTCTTTTTTTGCCTCTAAACAGGAAATAATTTTTAGTTTGGGATAAAGGGCTTTTGGTCTAAGTCATCTGGAGCAGTTAGCAAGAGAGGGCAGCAGCTGAGCAGTCCTTTTGTACCAGAGGCAAATGGGCAGTTGAGGTGATGGGTATCACAATTACTCTGATTTGATCATTACACATTGTATGCTTGTATAAAATATCACACTTACCCCATAAGTATGTACAACAATTATGTACTGATAAAAATTAAAAATTAATAAAAAGAAAAATCTAAATTGAGCAGAAGTAGCAAAAATGGCGAAGGGGCAAGTGTCTCCGGCTTCTGCTGAAATAGCCTGGCTGAGGCCATGGATGCTTCTCAGAGAGAGCATGGGAGTTGCATGAGAATGAAGCTGTCATCTACGGAAATGGAGCAGACTTTGGTGATATCCCTGGTATAAATTCTTGTCTCCACCACTTGACTGAAAAGCCATTTTAGTACTCTGGGCCCATTTCTCATTGGGAACCATGACACGTTCTTTTTAGGGTGATTGCGATAGTTAAATGTGAAGTGGCCAGCACAGTCTGTGCAGATGTCACTTGTCTTACCTCTGATCCAATTCATCCTGTTTCCTCCACACCTTTCCTTTCCTTTTTTTAACTGAGGACTTCATCTTTACAGGATACCACAGTCTTTTATTCAGCTTTCTTCTCCCTCCGTATTGGATATTCATTGCTAATGGAAATTTATACTCTTACCACAGAACTATTTTGATGCCCAGATCATTTGACATGAACACTAACCAATCAGTGTGCCTTCTTTTTAATGCTCCAAGTACTTTTGTTAAGAACATTTGTTAGGACAACCACATTCCATGGTTTCAGGTAAATCCCTTGGCAGACAATAATGAGCAGGTCAGGAGAGTCCTTGGTTTCCATTTGGTTAGATTTTTTTTTCCTCTATAATCCTTTATTTCCCCTATTCAGATCAAGGGTTTATTATGACCCAGTTCTCATGTTCTTAATAACCATGGAAATCAACACGTCAAGATATAAGGTCCATCCAGAGTTTAGCCTAAAATATATTTATTAAACCCTAAATCTGGTTTGGTTCTTCTTTTGTGTTTGGTTTTCTTTTAATCTATACTTTTAGGGAATGCTGAGTGAATTTGTTCCAGAAAGTCCTTATGAAAAAGATGCAAGTAGAAAAGTAGAGAGGAAAATGACAGGGAATTTCATGGAAAATAGACAAAGAAAGATTTCTCTTTACATAATGTCATGTAAGAGCTTAGGAGTTGCCCCTATGTTCACTATTTTTTAATAAAATTAACTTGACCTGCTTTCACAAAGGAACTTCTAGTCTTAAACATTTGGAATGTGCTCAGTTGAATAAACTCTCAAACAATTTCTTTTTCCTACTTAAAGTTATTCTGAGATATACAACATTCAGTGGAACTTTTATAAGAGAGGTCAAAAGCAGAAATAATTTCTAAAAGGGTGAAGGAATATTACTGACATTGTCTGACCTTCAAGCAAATAAAGCAAATCTGCATTTGTGATCCTATGAACTATACCATGAACATGGCATTTTCAAAAAATATTTTATGGGCCAGTCCTCCAAGTGTTATTTAGCATCTCATGCAACAATGAGAACTTATCATATAGAAAAGTGAAAATTGTTGCTGTGATGTGTGCAGTTGATAGAGAATAGAAATAGCCTTCTCAGTAGCTAATAAAATGCCATCTGGAAACACCTTTCAACACTGATGTTACATTTTATTTTTTTAATGCACCAGAGACTGCATGGAAAATTAGGTTTTGTGAAAGCTAGCAAAGTGGCATGGCCATTGCCTTTCCTTGGGAGTTTGTCATTTATATTTATGATATTGTTTCTAAACTGACAAGGTGACTCAAATTAAATCTATTTGCAGGACTTACTTTGAATGTGCTGCTGTAGATTTCTATATATCACAAATCCACACCTTGAAAACTGACTAAATAAATATCACACCTTACTTACTAGTGTCCTCTGATATTTTTGGTAGTCAATGTGAAATAGAAGGTCAGATTTTGTTTTCCTTCCAGTCTTAATGGAGTAAAAAATTTTGCCCATTGTATTATTAGATAACTCATACATTTGTTTTCTCTCTCCCTAAGGGAAGTAAAATGAGCATGTCTTCAGTTTACTCTGTCTGAGACACACATTCATGCAAAGAGCATTTAAGGAAAGTATTAAGGTATTAAGAAACCTGAGGCTAAGCAGGACAAATAAAAAAAAAACTTGCCCAGAATCCAACAGCTGGGAAGGGGCTGAAATAGAGCTACAACCCAGGTCAGCCTATTGCCCAAGTCCATGTTCTTTCCAAAACTCAGTATGTTCACAGAATTCAGCTGAGATACAAAATCCTAGATGTACAATGATAAAAGCCTACAGAGGAAACTTGATCAATGCGACAGAAAGAAAGAGAAATTTGTTTTCAAACTGAAGTCAGAATCTTAGAAATGGAAGGCATTATACCCGTCAATATAGATTACATGATTAGATTACTTCCACATCATCTGCACACACACACATGTGCACATGCGCAAGCACACACACACACACACACACACAAATATTCACATGCATCTGTGTTAAAAATACTCCAATTATTGAATACAAATAAACTGACAGAGGAAATGTGTCTATAAGAAGAGGTATGCATGCAGCATTTCTTAGCACCCTGCTTTCTTTCCACTCTTGATTACCTATGGAGTGCAGAGTTCCTACTGACATTATCCTAGGAAGTATACTATCACACATATATTGATATTTCCTGATTCTTGAATTAAATTTGACCTCAGTTTTCCATATTTGCATGGAAGATAAACAGTAGGGTAGTAGAGTGAATGACAGCCTACGTTGCACACAAGTAACTAAAAAATATTTTTGCTGCCAATTTCCTACTGTTTAGGAAAACCCATTGCAAGAACGTGCCTTAACAACATTTCCTCTTCCCTATCCCTTTTCCCATTCCATTACTCACACAAATCCCCTTTTCACATTATCACCTCCTATATAATCTCTCCTAGATCAAAATGTATGTGTGTAAATGACCTAATATGGAAGATCTGTTAACATCTCTATCAGAGCTATTTAGTTTACTCTGAGTTCTAACTGAAATTAAAGATGTGGTCTACTGTTAAAGAATGTCCAGCACAATGTAGGATGCAGGAAATTATTTTGGGGCAGCATCTCTGAAATCATATGAGTTGATTTTTTGTTGTTGTTCTACAATTTATTGTCCCACTGAATAGTGACTTTGAAGAGTTTCAGAAATTTTAAACGAGTAAAACTGCTATTTAATATCATGTCTATTATGGTAATCTCAAGCAGTCACATCTTCAGAAAAACAATAGAGGAAAGGTATTTCACATACTGTTTTTACTCTGCTCAAGAATGGTTCATATGCACAGATTGACTAACAATTGGATGTTTAAAGAACCCTTAGCTGGATTCTTAGCAAATGGAAGTGTAGAATTATCCCAAATGCCTTCTATAGTAAAGTATGACATTTGGGAGGATAAAAGAAAATCATTTTGAATTTTGGCACAAAAAAATTCTTTCTTTTCCTGGATTATTCACTTTATGATCAAAATAAATCTTAGTCAAAGAGCTTAGTTCTTTGGGAGAAGTAGCTTTCTGTGCCAAATAGGAAGTGATTAAATTTTCTCACCTAAAAAAGGCAGTAAACACAGGTTATCTCAATTATTTGGCCTATTGCAAACATCGTCTCTATGATCTACTTTATATTAATGATGCTGTCAATCTAGATACATATAAGGCATGTCTGAAAAGTTTTACTCCCCCAAATCATAAAATCGTTTGCCAGTAGTCTAGTTATCAGATTCTTTTGTGACCAATAACGTATTTAATACAACCACCCCGGGTCTGAGTAAGGGTTTTACAAAATGGATTGAAAGTAAGGGGCCTATTGTGAGCTAACTTATGCTTTTAATAAGCAATCCTAAAGGATTTCAAAGCAGATCAACCATATGCTGTGACTTAGGAATTATCTCTCTAATCACAGAGGCCTTGGCCAATCCTAGGCAAAAAAGAAATGCAACTTGAAGTTAGTAAGCTAATTCAGTTTTTTAAAAAAGATATCACAGTAACATGTTAATAAATGATAAAATTCATACCCTATATTTTCAATCTTATCTCCTTTTATGAATTTCATGCTCTGTCCATTTAATCCCTGTCATTATTTAGGCTCCATATATTGTCTGTTTTTGAAGGTTTTATTTCTCTCACAGAAGAAAATTAGGAACCTGTTTTATCTTCTCCTCAAGGAAAAGAATCACGTGGTAAGCAAAGTTTTGTTTTCAAAGGTTGGATGTGAGACTGTTACAAAGTATAATAATAATTACTATAGCAAACATTTATTGTGGTTTTTACCACATGGTGCACAGTTCCAAAAAGTTACATGCATTGTCTCATTTAATTCTTGTAACAAACATTTGAGCTCTATTATTATCCCTTTTTTAAGACAAAAAACTGCAGCACAAAATATGCAGGACTACAACAGTGCATGTCGACAAAGTAAATGGCTGTCTCTGGAGTTGGACAGTGTATGACCCATGCACAATTAGCAATGGCCCTTGCAGTCAATGTTTTTAGAATTAAATTTAAATGTTCTGGCCCGGCACAGTGGCTTAAGCCTACAGTCCCAGCACTTTGGGAGGCTGAGAGGGATGGATCACTTAAGCTCAGGAGTTCAAGACCAGCCTGGCCAACATGGTGAAACACTGTCTCTACTAAAAATGCAAAAATTTGCCAGGCCTGGTGGTGTGTGCGTGAAATTCCAGCTACTCGGGAAGCTGAGGCACAAGAACTGCTTGAACCCAGGAAGCAGAGGTTGTAGTGAGCTCAGATCATACCATTGCACTCCAGCCTAGCTGACAGAGCAAGACACCATCTCAAAAAAAAAAAATTAAATGTTCAACTTAATATTAAGCTTTCTCAGTGTATTTGCAATTTTTTCAAATAATATTTTTATAGGCATAGGTACCCTAAACCAATGAGAATATGTTACAGGCAAAGAGGGCCATCTGCCTACTGTCCTTCAATTCTTGATGTCTAGATAACCATCTTATTCTGTCTGACAAAAAATTGCCACTAATATTGCTCTGATGACCATATGGTCTGATGAGAATGACAAAACTAAAATAAAGGCAATAGGACAGAATGCTTAAAGTCAAGTCAAGATGGTTCAGAAAACCTGAGAATGTCATCAGTGTGGCTCTACTTTTCTACCCCCTTAAGCAAGCTCAGGGCTCAGCTTTCCATTCACAGAAGGAATTGAACAGCAAAAATGTCTCTTTACTAAAGAGACATATAGCATTTACTGGGCATGTGTAGCTCTGCAAAATCACAGGAAAATCTTTGTTTTTATTTTCTAAAAGTAATAGCATATTAAAATTTGGCAAATGATAGTCAACCAATAAAAGTATATGGTATCATGAATTCATAGCATTTGTCTGAATTAATATTTTGCCTATGGTTTCAGAATCAAAGGGTATTGGAATAATCCTGCCAGAAGTTATTAAATTCTGCCTTTCCCTGTTTTTCAGGACTTCAGGGGAATTATGGTAAATAGTAAGAAGAGGTCAGTATAACAATAAGAGGTTTGAATGTAAATGGAGGAAACAGTTCATGGAGAACTAGTAACTTAAAAAGGAGTCTGTGTGAGTTAGGGATGGATTCACAGAATATAATTCAGTATTAATCTCATATTATTCTAGTATGACATGTAGCACAGTTCATAAACAATTATCAACATTTAATTTTATTGACCACAGATCAGAATTACAAAGGGTGACCTTAGGAGCATCTAAGTAAATTATTAAACAGACATGATTTTTCTCAGAGTGTTTATAGCACCTAAGGGTTTCTTGGATGGGCATCATTTCAAATACAGTGTCAGGAAAATAGAATAATCCTGAACTTAGGGAGACACCTACAGGTACAGTAGGAAAAAAAATAATAAAACGAGGATCTGAGAACCAGAAAACAATAGCATTGTGTTTAATTAGGAAAACCAAAATAGTTCTTCCTTGAAAACATTTTTGAATGCTTAGAGCATTTTTCATAATGATAAGCACAACATATACAAGGATATCTTAACAGCAAATATATGGTTTTTCAATTTTATCTCTCAACTTTAGGCTACTTCTACAATCAAACTTTGTCTAATGGCCTAAAAGACGACCCACAGTTCTTTGAAAGTGAGTTAGGATTTACTTATTGGTAGAAATAACATTAGTTGTCATCATTGTCATTATCATTATCATCATCTTCATTATCATTTTTACTGAGTGTCTACCAAGCAGCAATAAGTATATTTAGATATTAATCACTTTGGCAAGTTTTTTCTTCAGTTAAAATAAAAATATTTCTGGTAGAATAAATATATTTTGCATTAATAGACATTTTCACCATAACATATATGGTTTTATTAGATTCATTTTTAAGAATAGGTTTTTGACTAGTATGAAGTGCAGAGGAGTTTAAGGATGAGAATGGAGGGTGGCAGTGACATGTGGCATAATTTTGTTAGCAAATAGACAGACCTAGAGCTTTTTAAAAGCTTCTCCCCTCACCACCCACCCCCCATTATATGAATTCCCATTCTGTGAGATGAAAATCAAAGGAAGGAGTAATCATCCAAATTTTTTTATTGTTTTCTGTTACTTTAATTTAAATCTCCAGTTCCACGCAGGTTTTGCTCAGAAAGGACACCTCTCCAAAGCTCTGCTTCACTTCCTGTACTTAAAATATTTATACAATAGTTAAATTTTCATTACGTTACAGGAAGAGAATTTTCATGTCTTCAGTGCCCCCTAAACACATCATTCTGGTGCTCTTCTGGTGCCGGAAAAGCTCAGAGAGCTCTAGTATGGACACAAATTATCACTGAGAAAAAAATTCCCATCATTTTACCTTTTCCTGATTTTGACATTATACCAGTGTATTCAGTCATGAAATCACTGCACATCAAAAGAGGTCCACAGAAAACAACCAAAATGGGTGAGGGGATATAGCAGATTCCACACAGCAATACCTAAGGATCTAGAGACTTTTTTAAAAAAGATAAAATCTAGTTTCTGTCAAGCCAATCTTCCAAAATAAAATCATATCCTCTCCATTTCTGACGTCTCTCATCAGCACCTAAGCAGATAAGCTTAGATACTTTGAATTCTCTATTATATCACTATAACAGCCTTTTAATTCTTTTCTCCGTCATTGCCCACATAAAAAGCCATATTCTATCTGCTGTGCTGAAACAATCAGATTATTTCTCTGGTTAAAACTCTTATATGGCTCTCTATAATCTTCAGGATAACAATCCAAATTTCTTAACAGCATAAGCCTCTAAATAATCTGTTCTCCGCCTACTGCTTGGTTTCACACCTTAACATTCATTATTTCTATAAAATAATAATAATAGGAACACTAATACAATAATAACAATATAATAACTAATATTTACAAAGCCTGTATTATGTGCCAACCACTGTCCTAAATATATTGTTTTTATTTTGATAAAATATTTATATAACATACAATTAATCATATTAACCATATTTCAGTGTAGAGTTCTGTGGACTTAAGTGCATTCCCATTGACCTGCAACCATCACTGACATCCATCTCCAGAACTCTTTTTCTCTTGCAAAACTGAAACTCGGTAGCCACTAAAGAATAACTTCCCCTTTTCCCCTCCCCTCCCAGCTCCAGGGGACCACCATTCTACTTTTTTCTCTGTGAATTTGGCAACTATAGAAACCTCATACAATTGGAATCATACAGTACTTGTTTTTTTTTTTTTTTTTTTTTTAAACTGGCTCATTTCGTTTAGCAAAATGTCTTCAGGGACGCATGAGCATATTGTAGCATGTGTCAAATTTTCTTCCTTGTTAAGGCTGAATAATATTCATTGTAAGTATATACCACATTTTATCATGGACACTTGGGTTGTTTCTACCTTTTGGTTATTATGAGTAATGCTGCTATGTGCTATGAACATTTGTGTCTTTGTTAACAAATTACCATCAACTGCATGGCTTAAACAACAGGCATTTATTTCTGTTATTCCAGAACAGGCAGTTCTGGAGGCTGGGAAGTAGAAGATCGAGATGCTAACCAGTTCAGCTCCTGGTAAGGATTCTCTTGAAGATGGCTGCCTTTGTACTGTATCTTCACCTGACCAGGAAAACTCTGGTCTCTTCTTACAAGGGCACTAATTCCATCATGAGGATCCCATCCTCATGACGGCATCCAAACCTAATTACCTCCCAAAGATCCTACCTCCAAATACCATTACACTAGGGGTAAGCACTTCAAAATAAAAGTTTGGGTAGTCACAAACATTCAGTTCATAGCAATTAGTGTATAAATCTGTTTGAGTCCTGCTTTAACTTCTTTTGAGTATATACCCAGAAATGGAATTACTGGATCATGCGACATCAAAACTTTAAAAATGGCACTAGGACAACAAGATCAGGAGTTCGAGACCAGCCTGGCCAACATGATGAAACCCCCGTCTCTACAAAAAATATTAAAAATTAGCTGGGTGTGGTGGCACATACCTGTAATCCCAGCTACTAGGGAGGCTGAGGCAAGAGAATTGCTTGAACCCGGGAGGTGGAGGTTGCAGTGAGCCAAGATCACGCCACTGCACTCCAGCCTGGGCAACAGAGTGAGACCCTATCTCAAAAAAAAAAAAAAAAAAAAAAAGAAAAAGAAAAGAAAAAGAAAGGCACTAAATTAGCCCTACTGTAAAGGCTGTTCTTGACCCAGACTAACAGAGCTTAAAAGCAAGCATGGAAAAAATAAAAATGAACTGCAAGTAGTTTAACTTTCTGCGAGGACATAGTTCAATACTCTTTGAAGGAATGCAACTGATATGGTTTGGCACTGTGTCCCCACTCAAATCTCATCTTGAATTGTAATCCCCACTTATTGGCGGGACCTGCTGGAAGGTGACTGGATCTTGGGGGTGATTTCCCCCATGCTGTACTCATGATAGGGAATGAGTTCTCACGAGATCCGATGGTTTAAAAATGTGGCACTTCCTCTCTTTCTCTCTGCCCTGCTGCCATGGAAGACATGCCTTGCTTTCCCTTCACTTTCTGCCATGACTGTAAGCTTCCTGAGGCCTCCCTAGCTATGCAGAACTGTAAGTCAATTAAACCTCTTCTCTTTATAAATTACCCAGTCTCAGGTAGTTCTTTCTAGCCATGTGAAAATGGACTAACACAGCAAACTAACACAAAACTTACAATATGTCATCTAATGATCAATTACCGGGTCTACAAAAAAGCAACATAACCCACAACCAGAAAGAAAAAAAATGAATGCATACTCCAAAATGACAGAAATAATAGAATTGTCATGCAAAAACCTTAGCATAGCTAATATATTACAAATATGTTCAAAAATGTAAAGAAAAATGTGACAAATAAGAGAAATAGAAAGCTACAAAAAAAAAATCCCAAATGTAACTTCTAGAGTTGAGAAACACAGTATCCAAATGAAAAATATGTCACTATTGTTAGGCGAACAGCCTCCTCACTTTTACTTAGGAAACATATGATACAGAATTTTTGAATGACTTAACTAGCGCTCTATTATCAGAAGACTATTAATTGGAAACATATTTTCTGGATTATCCAGTCTGGAGTTCTTTTTTTCTATATTTTATATATATTTTCTATATGTTTTTCAACAACACTTTGTGCAAGACTTTGAAAGAGTCCAAGGCTCAACAAATGAACTTCCCTTCTCCAGATTAGCTTTTTGATAGAACACTGCACATAGATATGATGTGATGCCACTAGCCTACTTATAATATTGCTAGAAATACTTTGTTTGCCTTCCCTGTAGTTATGGAACTCCATCTATTATAGCCAGAAGTTCCACTTGAGTCTATTTACTCCTGACTCATTTGGGAAGAAGAGTCAATGGTGTCTATAATCAGAGCAGTCTTTACAGTAAAGGAAAAGTAGTGCCTGCTTTGTATAACAATTACTGTTAGTTGTTACAGTCTTGGAAAAGTCTTACATATTTATTAATCCCAGTTGACATATTCATTAATAACAGAAGAAGCTCTGAGAATAATTTTTTTAAGACTGGATTTGAGAAAGTACATCCTCAGATACCTTTGATGCAAATGTTTGATTCAATACAAAAGTGATTCTTCTTCAAATTTTTTGTCACCAACTATATATGTACTGACTCTAAATTTTGGACCTTTCTGCAGAATAATGAATAGCAAATATGGGTAGTTATAAATCTTGATAATGTGGTTTTCCTCAGATATGAATATGAAAACTGCTGAGTCTGGAGCCAGCAAACCAGGCTCTAGACATGCTATAAATATCATGTCATGTTGGTTAAATCTTCCTTTCTCTGCATCAGTTGCCTATACATAAAGTGAGGGGATATGACGATTTTGTAATGTGTAATGTGTCAATTTAGCTAGAATGAACTACAGTCTCCAAAATTCCCTTTCTATTATATCTCCAGTTAGGATGAGATACAACGGATAAGATATTCCCTCTCTTTTGTGGATTGGAGGATGGAAAGGAGACAATCCTTCTGTAGCACACACACAAACACATTCCCCCAGTTGATCAAACACTAATCTCTGAATAATGCTGGAAAGAAATTTTGTAGATATAATTAAAGCCCCTAAACAATTGGCTTTAATCAAAAGAGAGATTATCCTGAGCAAGCCATCTGACTTAATCAGATAAAAGCTCACTAGATAAATAAAATGTGGCACACATACACCATGGAATACTATGCAGCCATAATAAAGAATGAGTTCATGTCCTTTGCAGGGACATGGATGAAGCTGGAAACCATCATTCTCAGCAAACTAACACAGGAACAGCAAACCAAACACCGCATGTTCTCACTCCTAAGTGAGAGTTGAACACGTGGACACAGGGAGGGGAACATCACATACAGTGGCCTGTTGGGGAGTTGGGGAGCAAGGCAAGGGAGAACATCAGGACAAATACCTAATGCATGCAGGGCTTAAAAAACTTAGATGATGGGTTGATGGGTGCAGCAAACCGCCATGCCACATGTATATCTATGTAACAAAACCTGCATGTCCTGCACATGCATCCTAGAACTTAAAGTATAATTTAAAAATACAAAATAAAAATAATAAAAAGGGTTTGAACCTTTCCTGAGCCCAGACTCCAGTCATTGAATCAACAATTGCTCTCCCTTCCGTCTATTATCTTCCTTCCTGACTGGTTCCCTGAAGAAAACAAGCTTCAGCTTATGCCTGTGGGGTTCCAGCCGGCTCATAAACACACACACACACACACACACACACACACACACACACACTCATACACACGTCTCCTACTGATTCTTCTTCTCTGAACCCTGATTGGTAAGAGTTTAAGTTAGTTAATGCCTGAGTTCCCTATTTCTTCAGTTCAGGTGTGGATATGTGTATATGGTGTGTTTCTCACAGATGAACTCTTGATTCTTCATTAGCCTATAAACAAAGCAAAGATATCTAGATCACACTGGCTATGAATGCAAAATCTTCTTCCTATCTCTGTCAGTTGCCTCACTGGCATCATGCATCATAAATATAATCTTATCAAAGATGAAATAACTGTAACTAAGATTGGGCACTATTAGATTGATGAAGTGCTCACCTGTGAAACAACACATATCAGTAAGTTAAATTGCTTTGTGCAGTATGTTTTGGTTGTGCTGGAATCTTCTATTTTGAATCAGATGTTTTCGATGAAAGGAAATGAGGAAAGTAGTTGTCTTCCTGATCCATTAATTATTTTCTTGTACTATTTGGTGAATATCGGATAGCTTATCTGTATAAAATATCTATCCACTTTTTTAATATACTTGGTTATTTTCCTGATCATTTCCAAAAGTCAGCTCATTGTTGGGCATACAAGTTTTCATCCAAAAATAAGGATAGTAATAAAGGTCGGATGAAATTTCTTTTGGAATCTTTTGGAATCTAAATAACACTAAAGTGTTTAAGTTTTAACACTTTCTCGATTTAATAATAATGAGAAAATTTAATCTTAGAGTCAGGCCAGATTTCATTTCTATGAGTTATGCCACTGGATATTTCAGAAAATAGGTTTTCAATAGTAAGGTTATTGGAGCCAGTACTTCTGACTTCGGGTAAACACACACACACAAACACACACACACACACACACACACACACACAATGGATGTGAAATTTGGTAGCAAGTGGCTGCTATTCTTCCTCCCAAAGTAGTCTACTCAAAAGATACTGTCAAGAGCTGTAAATTCCTCAAGGATGAGTTTATTTCACATGTCACCCAGCACGCAACTGAACACATCACAGAAACCAAATACTTACTAAATTAGTGTGCATTGCTTTACAAGGAAAAGTCAATAAAATGGCATAGTGAATATATCATTGGACTTGAAGTCAGTGTTCATCTGAAAATGGGAACAATAATCATGACAATACCATTCAGATAATCATATTCTGAAAATTAAATACATTGTATTACAATGAGTTTGTAAATTCTACAGTAATGTATCTATAATACTTTCCAAAAGACTGCTCTCTGATCTAATACAATAGAAATTTATTAAAAAAGATAATTATTTATGTTATATTCATGTAATGGATCATGTTAACAATAAAGGACAACTTTCCTTTTTTATTTAAACTTTTTTTATTTTACATTCTGGGGAACATGTGCAGGATGTGCAGATTTGTTAAACAGGTAAATGGCAACTTTCCTTCTTTAGTGAGCAAATCTTTCAGTAAGCAAAGTACAGGTGTTCTCTGTGATATTTTTATTTTTGCAATTTATGTTTAAGGAGCAAATCTATGCAAGGTAGCATCTTTCTAGATCTGGAAAGTTGAATTCTTTCTATATCACAGACCTACACTCACAGTTGACATCACCATTCTAGACAAAGCCATAACTACAACCTAAGCACTTTTATTTAAAGGAATGTTCATCAACATCCACTCTCCTTGGTCTTGAGCCAAGCCCAGAAATAACAAGGTCAGATGGTCATGATCAGGAAGAAAGTAAACTCAGACTTGAAGAAATATACTGTCAAATTCCCCATATTCCAACCTGCTGTGCTTGATTTTAATACTTCTTTTATTAAGGTGATTCTGGTAGAATTTGGCTGAGGACTCCTCCCAAAATCTCTTTTGCCACGTAAATACACTCCACTAGTTTTTCAAGATAGGTTTTTATTAATATATGGATTTTATTTTCTGGTGCTCAAGACAATGTAATGCTAAACTGACAAATGGGAATAGTCAGAGTTTTTTTAGGTACAGTTTAATTCTTAATATAAAAAGTAAACAGATTTATAAGAAACATTCTAATAAATACATCACCATGATTTTTAAAAATAATACCATTGTCCAGAGTTCTTGATAAAGTATTGTTATAGAGAGTATAGAGAGTTTTTAGGGATTTTTTTTTTATTTTTGAAGTGAAACTGTATGTACATACTTATAGCATGACACCAGGCCTATAAGTAAGGTATTTTAAAGTAAAGCTTTCAAGGAAAGTACAAATCAGGTATTGAAATTAAATTGAAGACATAGCTTTACTCTCTTCTTTGATCATAACTAAAATAATATTTTAGACAAAAGCTAAAACAAAAAGAGGATATTATACAGATTGCTGCTTCTTTTCCAAACACTTCTCAATATCATCAAGCACCTGAACGGCAGCCTTTGGAATTCGAGTCCCAGGACCAAATACATTGGAAACACCAACTTCAAACAGAAATTCATAATCCTGTTGAAAGAATGTGTTTAATTAATAAGAGCCACTATTTCCATTTTCACGGAAATAAAACCCTATCCTTTCTTCTTTGTCACTCAATTACCCAAAACCTTCTCAACTGGTATACTACTGGCATTTGGGGCTAAAAAATTCTTCCTTGATTGGGAGTGCTACTAATAGTCATCAGCACCAGCCTCCCAGCCCAAGTTATTTAAAAAACAAAACACTCCGCCCATTTTCTAAATGCCTCTATGTGTTGCTTGTGGTAGGAAGCTGGATATCCTGACTGAGAACTTCTGAGCCTTAAGCCATAATTTTCTCTCACCTAAATTTTCACTAGTTGTCATTATGTGTGTTAAATTTAGTATGATGTGATAAGTTTGAGCCTAAAAAACTATTTTCTCCTAGGTATTTTGTCTGCAGTTAGTGAATGATGGCACTTTGAATTTGGACAACTGATAGATTTTCTATAAATGAAAATAAGCCCATTTTTTTTTTCATTCTCTGTTGCTGTTGATTTTTTTTAGTTTATTTATTTGTTTTGTTTATTTATTTATTTTTGAGATGGAGTCTCGCTCTGTTGCCCAGACTGGAGTGCAGTGGCGCTATCTCGGCTCACTGCAAGCTCCGCCTCCCGGGTTCACGCCATTCTCCTGCCTCAGCCTTCCAAGTAGCTGTGGCTACAGGCGCCCGCCACCATGCCCGGCTAATTTTTTGTATTTTTAGTAGACACAGGGTTTCACCACGTTAGCCAGGATGGTCTCAATCTCCTGACCTCGTGATCCGCCCACCTTGGCCTCCCAAAGTGCTGGGATTACAGGCATGAGCCACCGTGCCTGGCCTTTTTAGTTTATTTTAACAGTCAAAGTATGAGTGAAAAGATATCAAGGGCACAAATAATACTGCAGGATTTAGGCTGTTATAACATCTGAACATTTGTAGCTGCAATATCGATTGATGTTAGGATGTGCTACAAGAACCTGATCATTATCCAGTAGGGTGATCATATATGACAGGACAGTCTGATTTTTGTTTATTGTTGCAGCACCCTTTTTAAGAGCACCCATTTCTATTCTCAAGTGATAAATTATATGGTCATGCTAATTACTCCCCAACTACTACTTTTCTGTCTCTATTATATACTTGTAATATTCTTATAATACTATAATATTGCAACAGAACTTAACACATCTCATTGAACTTGTCTCCTTCTAGTCTGTGAAATTCTGAGAGTAGAGATCATGTCCAATCTGTTTCCCCAGTACTTGACACATAAAAGTGCTCAAAACATGTCATTGTTCTTGAGTAGATGATACAGAGTTTAAGAGCTCATAAGGGAACTGAATGAAACATGTAATAATAATCATCTCTAAATTGGAGATGTCAGATTAATAGGTCTTGTACTTCTCTCCTTCCTAAAAATCCCATGTACCATTTGTCCTGACATCTGAGTTATGGATTTAGAATGGAGGATTCAACTGGAAGAGAACTGCAAGATGTTGCAACTGAAAAAAGGGTATGTGACTTATCTAACTCTTTCTTACATAAGCCTTGTAAAATATACCTTTGTGAGGGGGTTGTATACAGATATTTTTTGTACTATTTTTATTTTTGCAACTTATCTGTTAGTTTGAAATTATTTCCAAATAAAAATATATGTTTGAATGTCCTCCACTTAGCTGGGCCAGGGATAGCACAGTGCCTGCTTCATGATGGAAGCAGGCATTGTGAGTCTACTCAACTTGCTGAAAAAACTTGGAGGCGACTGCTGCTAAGAGAGTTAGAAAATACTGATCGTAGTAACATACTGATGAGGAGAGACCACGTTTATTCATTTAATCAGACTGCAGAAACTGTTAAGCTCCACATGGCAGAAGCTGTATCTGTTTGATTAGCCACTAGATATTAGTGCCTTCTAATTTAAAACTAAGTGACCTTTAATTGAATAATAGCAACATTTTACATATTCACTGCAAACAAATAGTGAGAAAATACAAGGGTGTTAACTGCTATAATTATATAATACCCATATTCACACAAAAGTATAACACAGAAAATGGTCCTTATCCTTAGTTGTTAAATTCATGGGAAAAATCACATGGCAAACACCTAAAGATGTTCTAAGTAATTTAAATATCCAGAGAATTAATACAACTTATTTGAAATATAATTCTTGAAAATGTCAGCTCACTTATATAACAGGCATTTTTTTTTTCTCAACATGAATTCCAATTCAAATGTTTTCTACTGGCTAATTATTTTGGTCCTTACATTTTAATATCATGCCTAGGTATCACAGACTCTAAAACTGCAACGCTGATAGAAGCGTTCTGTAGACAGACTGCAATAAAGAATAACTACCCTTTATTTTCTCAAATAATGACCTATTTTATGAATATAATAGGCAAGCATATTAACAAAAAGAATTTTGTGTTGATTATATCACATTAAATAATGTGTTGTTGGAAAGAAAATAAATATGTAGTTTGTTCAGTAGCCCCACTTTATTACGAATCTCACAACTTTATTCATATGAATTTTCTCCTTTCACAAGTAGTATATGAATGTACTATTCTATATTCTGAGTATTAATGGAGGAAAAAAAAACTGTAGAGCTGGAAACAAGGTCACATTTTACTGATGGATTCCTGCTATAGTGATGGGGCCTTTGCAGCTAGCATCTATGAGTCATTTACTTACGACAGCTTCATATACAGTTCTTCTAACTTGACATTTTTTCCATTCTCAGTAAAAAAGAAAATCTTGATATAATTGAGAACTGGATTGGAAACAGAACCTATTTGTATTTTAAATAACTATTTTAACTGGCCAGGAATGTCATATGTGGAAGGTGTCTCCCTACCTCATTAATAAATTAACTGATATCATTGTAGGTAACATCTGTTTCTCCTCTACTAAGAGGACTCACAGTTTTGTTCATGTATTCACCTCCTCCCCATTCAGCCTATAATTTTCAAGACAAGCTGATTCCATTTATGTCTGCAATAGGATATTTTTGGCTCCCGAAATACCAAGCCCTAATCAGATTAGCTTAAATAATAAAGGGTTTTATAGGACCATGTAAATGATATAGCTCTGAGGTAAGATAACATTTAGGGATGGGACCATCCTGGAGGAAAAGCACAAGGTAGCTCCTTCTAAATAGAAGCAAGCAAACTAAAGGACTCATTCCACCCCCCAGGACAAGGAGTACTCACTATATCTCTGGCTAGGTTTTGATATATTCACTGTGTATTTACTACCACTGTTCTCTACTCCACTTATGAGTTTTATTACTTTTATCCTGTTCCTTCTCCATAACTGTTTATTGAGAATGAAGGTAAACATCTAGCATAGGTTACTGGTTTGCAAGGAGGTAGTTCTCTCATTGAAGCTTTGTAAAGTGTTAAGTTAAATTATACATAATAAATTGCAATATAACTTGAATGCAAAACAACACTGTCCACTTTTAGACCTTGTAGAATTTATTTAGTGAAATCACCAGGAAATAATATGTTCCTAAATCTACAAGTTTATCTTTAGAACCACAAATAAGCTATCATTACTCAAGATTCCCATCACAGTACTAGAAAAATAGAGATAAAAAATACCTGAGGTGGTATCACCCCTCCACACATGACAAGAATATCTGGCCGTCCAAGGGAGTTAAGTTCTTTGATGAGTTCAGGAACTAGGGTTTTATGACCAGCAGCGAGGGTGCTTATGCCCACAGCATGCACATCCGCATCCACAGCCTGCTGGGCCACTTCACGAGGAGTCTAAACAGTCAGAAAGTAAAGATAAATCATTGTTTATTACTAGATAATGACTATAAAAACCCTGGAAGACAATCTAGGCAATACCATTCAGAACATACTAATGGGCAAAGACTTCATGATGAAGATGCCAAAAGCAATTACAACAAAAGCAAAAATTGACAAATGAGATATAATTAAACTAAAAAGCATCTGCACTGAAAAGGATACTATCAACACAGTAAACAGATAACCTACAGAATGGGAGAAAACTTTTGCAAACTGTGAATCTGACAAAGGTCTAATACCTGCATCTATAAAAAACTTAAACAAATTTACAAAAAAACATTAAAAAGCAGGCAAAAGACATGAACAGACACTTTCCAAAAAAGACATACATGTGGCCAACAATCGTATTTTTAAAAAGCTCCAAATCACTGATTGTTAGAGAAATGCAAATAAAAACCCCAATGAGACACCATTTCACACCAGTCAGAATGGCTATTATTAAAAAGTCAAAAAATAACAGATGCTAGCAAGGTTGTGGAGAAAATGGAACGTTTATACAGTGTTGGTGAGAGTGTAAATTAGTTCAACCATTGTAGACGACAGTGTGGTGATTCCGCACAGACCTCAAAACAGAAATACCTCCCAACCCAGCAATCCCATTACCGTACATATACCCAAATGAACAGAAATCTTTCTATTATAAAAACATGCTTGCAGCTGGGCGTGGTGGTTCATGCCTGTAATTCTAGCACTTTGGGAGGCAGAGGCGGGTGGATCACTTGAGGTCATGAGTTCGAGACCAGCCTGGCCAACATGGTGAAACCCATCTCTACTAAAAATACAAAAATTGGCCAGGTATGGTGGCACGTGCCTGTAGTACCAGATACTCATATGGCTGAGGCAGAAGACTCACTTGAACCCAGGAGGTGGAGGTTGTAGTGAGCCAAGATCATACCACTGCACTCCAGCATGGATGAAAGAGCGAGACTCTGTTTCAAAAAAAAAAAAAAAAATACACATTCACATGTATGTTCATTGTAGCACTATTCACCACAGCAAAGACATGGAATCAACCTAAATGCCCATCAGTGATAGACTGGATAAAGAAAATGTGATACACACACACTAAAGAATACTATGCAGCCAGAAAAAAAGAATGAGATCGTGTCCTTTGCAGGAACATGGATGAAGCTGGAAGCCATTACCCTTAGCAAACTAATACAGGAACAGAAAACCAAATACCACATGTTCTTTCTTATAATTGGGAGCTAAATTATGAGAACACATGGACACAAACAAGGCAAAGAGGGAAACAACACACACTGGGGCCTATCAGAGGGTAGAGGAGCAGGAGGAGGGAGGTCAGAAAAACAACTAATGGGTACTAGGCTTAACAACACAAGTTTACCTATATAACAAATCTACACATGTACCCCTGAACTTAAAATAAAAGTTAAAAAAACAAACAAAAAATAATATTTTTTTGAATACTAAAAGAATGTTTCCTCAAATGTTGGGGGGTCTTCCTAATGTAATGCCTACAGATATCAGAAACTTTTAAATTTAATATTCATCGTTACATTATTTCCCTCAGAGAACTTTGTTCTGATTATTTACATTTTTCATCAAATTTTCTGAAAACAATAACTCAATCCCTAATTTTTAGTGTTTGCTGATTTTTATGTTGTGAATATTCCAACCATAGCCAATTTCACCCTATTAACATGACATTACTAAATGCAAAGCAGAAAAAAAGACACACAATAGCCACACAATTATACAGTATCACTACCATATAGAAAAAATAGATGGAAATAACCTAAAAAGCAGATAATAAAATATATAAATATAGGGAGTGATAAGTTTTTAGTACTTATCACTTTTGGTTTTAGGCAATAGTAAAAGGTCTACTCTCTAGAATCTACAAGGAACTTAAACAAATGAGACACCATTTCACACCATGAAAAACAACTGGCTTTTGAAATTCTTAAAAATTTAATTCCTGGAGGCCTCATTATTCCTTAGTGGTTCTAGCAATCCTGCCTACATATCTGTAAGTAGTCCCTCCATTAAATTTTCTTCAAAATCCTAGCTGAGATTTGGTTTCTCTTGAGACCCTGACATTGCCCTAGTTAAGGTCTTCGTTGTTTCTCATTGTTTTTCTTCACCGTACTGCTTGAATCTAGTTGCAGCTCTCCTCCATCCACTTCAGAGAGTGATTTTACTAGAAAGTGAATGGCACTGTGCTTCTGAAACAAACATAAGTTTTAAGGATCAACAAATATAAGTTTCTGGGTTTCTTGTAACAAGTGAGGTGCCCTCTTTGTCCATATTTTAGTTATAGTAATTTTATACTATAGTTATAGTATAGTATAAAGTTATAGTAATTTAGTTATAGTAATTTTCATACTATGTACGAAATAGTAATAATTTACATAGTAAATTTCATACGATGTAATTACAAGTAAGTAAATCTCTCTTTGTTAGGAGATTGTAACCTCGAGGACAAAATTGTATCCTACTCAACTCAGAGCCTAGCATCTGGTAGATGATCAATACATATGTAGTAGAGAAGGCTTTTCATATAAAATTATTACAATGTACTTTCTAGTCAAATTTTTTTGTATTATCATTCTATGGAAAATGTCAGTGTAATTTATCTCCTGCAAACTATTTTCCTGTCTAAGTCTAATATTCTGTGACTAAGTAACATATTAGTAGAGAGTTAAAAAAAGACAACAAAAATAAACGAAAATAACCTTACTTATGAATTGAGTTTATATTGCTATTTGATTTCTTTTTCAAAACACTTTTCACCAATCCCATGTGGGCTATCTTTCCCACAAAATATTAGTCAAATCTCAATAAAGAGTACAATAAGATCTTTGAAAGTAATCTTCATAGTTCCAGAGGCATAATCAGTTTTAGTTCTGAACTGACACTTTTAAAAGTCTGAAAGATTAATTATATTTTATTTTTATTTCTATCATAATTAATTGGACTATATGTGTTATGGTTAATACTCCATGTCAACTTGGTTGAAGGATACAAAGTATTGACCCTGAGTGTGTCTGTGAGGGTGTTGTCAAAGGAGATTAACATTTGAATCAGTGGGCTAGGAAAGGGCTAGACCCACCCTTAATCTGGGTGGGCACCATCTAATCAGCTGCCAGGCGTGGCTAGAATATAAGCAGGCAAAAAAATGTGAATAGAGAGACTGATCTAACCTCCAAGCCTACATCTTTCTCCCGTGGTGGATGCTTCCTGCCCTTGAACATTGGACTCCAAATACTTCAGTTTGGGAACTCGGACTGGCTCTCCTTGCTCCTCAGCCTGCAGAAGACCTATTGTGGGACCTTGTGATCATGTGAGTTAACACTTAATAAACTCCCCCTTACATATATATATATAAAGGCTGAGGGAGAGAAGGCAGGGTGGCAGGAGTGGAGACCATGGGCATTTGAGCTACTTTCTCATGTAACTTACTTGTGCCTTCAGGACCTGCTCAAGCTGGACCACATATATACCACTTCCATTTGATGATGGAATGCTGCTGTGCAAGACCCACTTTATAGTTAGATGGGTCAGAAAGCACCCAGTTCATGATAGGCAGTTCTGGTCGCATGGTGACTTGATGACCCATAGTCAAACATTCAGTTTCCACCAAAGTCCAGTAACAGGCCAAGAGCTGTCTCTCAAAAGGAGAGTAGTTATCTGCAGAAGATGGCAGGCCCTTCCTCCAAAATCTTAGAGGCCTCTGCTGTGACTCACCTATGGGGGCCTGCCAAAGGCTCCAAACATCATTGCTATCTGCCACTGACACCTCAAGCACCATTGGATCTGCTGGGTCATATGGCCCAAGTGGCAGAGTAGCTTGCACAGCAGCCTGGACCTGTTGCAGAGCCTTCTCCTATTCTGGACCCCACTCAAAACTGGCAGTCTTTTGGGTCACTCGATAAATAGGCCAGAGTAACACAGAGTAACACATTCCAAATGAGGAATGTGTTGCTTCCAAAAATCCAAATAGGCCCACTAGGCATTGTTCCTCTTTCTTGGTTTTAGTAGGAGACAAATTCATTAATTTATCCTTCTAAGATTATCCTTAGAAGGAATATCTCAACAGGTCCCACACCACTGGACCCCTTACTGAGGGAGAAGGTCCCTGAATTTTAGTCAGATTTATTTCCCATCCTCTGGCATGCAACTGTCTCACCAATAAGTCCAGTATGTTTGCTACTTCTTGCTCACTGGATTTAATCAGTATAATGTCATCAATTAATGGACCAGTGTGATATCTTGCAGAAGTGAAAAGTGATCAAGGTCTCTCCGAATAAGATTATGACAAAGCCAGAGAGTTAATAAACCCCTGCAGTAGGACAGTAAAGGTATATTGCTGGCCTTGCCAGCTGAAGGCAAATTGCTTCTGGTGGGCCTTATGGGCAGGAATGGAGAGAAAGGCATTTGCCAAGTCAGTGGCTACATACCAGTTACCAGGAGATGTATTAATTTGCTCAATGTCTGTCATCATTTTACTACATTTTCTAAATGTAAGTGACTAGTAAATACTTTTGAAATTCCCCCCAACAGTTTTTAGTACCTGGAAAAGAGGGCCTATGTCCACATCAAAACCAAGATCAGCAAATCCTGTAGCAATAACTTTTGCTCCTCTGTCATGGCCATCTTGTCCCATTTTTGCTACAAGAAGACGAGGTCTGCGACCTTCACGTTCCATGAATTTATGAACCCTGAAAAACATTTAAAAATATATCAGTAGTTAGATACTAATTTTCCAAAGGGAAGATATAAAAACTAATTTATTCACAGCAAATCTTTCAAGTTTATTTAAAAGCACCTAATTTGTTTACTTGTATTTTGGGTTGTTTTTTTTTTCCAATTTTTATTTTACATTCAGGGGTTAATGTGCAGGCTTGTTACATAGTTAAACACGTGCCATGGTAAACAGCTGCATAGATCACCCCATCACCTAGGTATTAAGCCCAGCATCCATTAGCTATTCTTTGTGATGATCTCCCTACTCTCGTCCATATTTTGTTAATGCATCTATTTTACATTGAGAGCTCCATTAAAGCCATTTCCCCCTTAGAGGAAAGTCTGAAAGATGGCACAGACTGTAAGCACATAACACTGAGAACATCACGGTGAACTAAGACAAAAAATGACAACCTCCCACCTTCGTGAGCCAGGGTACAGAGTACAACATGCAGAAAGATTGAAATATAAACTAAAAAGTGACTTCATGGTCATTTATACATATATGTGATAGACTGGCTGCTTTGAATTGTCCATATCTCATCTACCCTTCATAAGTGTGAACTCTCCCAAGGTAACAGCAATATGGTTTCTTATCATGCTATATAAATCAAAATGCTTGCTTGCTCCACTGACAAATTTACTTCCAACACAAAAAAGCACTTATCTTTGTTAAAAGAAAAAAGTTCCATTTTGATGACTTTCACCTTGGCTGTTTTGATATTTATCTAGTGTACAAGTATGGAAATTCAGTTTTTAATTGGAAGCTTGTTACAGAGGTTGGAAAGACCAATCATCAAAAAGCTAGTTCTTACACTTGAGAAATATGATCACATTAATATATATTTCCAAGTCATGCTGTGGAAATAAATGTAAGTTATTATCAGTTCAATAAATACTGATTGTAATGTATGCATAGATGCCAACTAAATGTTTACTTTCAATTATGAAAATTAAGATTTTATAATTATTCAAGCAATGAAAAATGTAAACAACTTCAAAAAATATGAAACTCTACCATAGTAAGCAGATTGAAATATAAATACCTGGAGGATATGAAGCAATATCATTGTTAGTTAAACATCTGTTTGACATGAGAAACTCCTGAAGGGGACTATGGTGAAAGTTCAAAATAGTATTAATTATATGAAAACTAATATTAGTTTCAATATTTGATATTTATTATTAAATATTATCATGTACCTATTAAAATGATAGTATAGATATATAATATGTATCATGTATGATATATTTCTAATTATATATTATATGTAATGAATAAATTATATACTCTATTATATGTTATATAGTCTATATAATTAATATTTAATTTACTATTTATTATTATAAAATTCAAAAATTTTCTCAGTTGTATGTAAGGAAATTAAGCTCCCAGTAGATTCAAGGGGATTGTGCTAACAGAAAAGATGAAATTCTGGCCTAAGAAACCTTACATATTACCTCTTGATAGCAGATGTTATCTCTTTACTTTCTCCAAATTCCTGGCGATATGCTCCACTCACCATTCGATCATTCGCTTTATGTTCACCAAATACCTTTTTCAGGGCATCTGTGATTTCTCCCACTGTACATCTGAAACATGAAATGGTGGTTCCATTAACTTCATTATTTTGTGATAAAGATATCTGTTTACCATAATATTCAATATAATTAAACATTTTATTACATAAGTAAATGACTGTAAAAATGTAAAATAAGAATTTTTTAATGCATTATGAAAGCATCTCTTCTGAAATTACTTAAGAAAAATTTATTCTGGATGCCTTTATGCATCCAATTCTCTTTTCAACATTTGTCAACCAAGAAATGACTGAATGACCTAATAATTATATATATAGACAAGTACCTGAAGGTTGCTGAATAATTCACCACTTAACACAAATGGATAAACAGCAACACTCCCATAAATATTTTTTGATAAGAAGTAAATCTTTTAGCATATTCCATCCATTTGTTCACTAACTCATCCAACATTAGCTGTGTGCCTAATATGTGCCAGATATTACTATATCTCTATATCTACTATAGCGATACAGTAATAAATGAGACCAAAGAAAAAGTACTTGTTCTTATAGACATTAACATCTGTAACATCTAGTCAGAGGATGCAGATGATAAATAACTAAATAAATAAACTAGTAAGACAATTTCATAAGGTAATAAGTACTACAAAGACACTAAACCACGCAAAGATGGAATGGGCTGTCTGGAAGAACCATTTTAAAGTTATTGAAGATGTGAAGATATGACTTTTGAACTAAGATATAAATTATAAAAAGGGGGATCCCAAGGGAACATAAAACAGTAAGAGTGTTTGAAAAAGGAAGCACTAAAAGCAAAGGCTCTGAGATGTAGGAAAATATGTTTTATGTTCTAAAAATAGAAAGAAGGGCATTAGGAACACGGCATAGTGAGGAAAGTGGTATAAGATGAGGTCAGAGAGATGGGCAAGAGTCACATCTAGCACATCTTGCAGACTATCGGAAGATTAGGTTTGAATATAAAAGGAATGGGCAACCATCAAAGGACTTTAATAAAAGTCATCTAATTTTTTTAATGAAATTAGTAGTAGAAAAAAACAGTACATACAAGTTATACTATACCTTAACCAGTTAAAGCAACATATTTTTTTAAAACTTCATTATATTAAGAAATAAACACTTAAAAGCAAAAGTAATCATTTAATGATACTGCCATATATTGGGAGAAAATTTTCCATGGGTCACTTGCTTTTCTGCACATCCTGTGGAGCAAAGCACTGACACCTCTTTATTCTGGACTATCTTTTCAAAGATGTCTGTATAGTGAATCGCCTTAGAAGACAGAAATATTGGCTACCTCCAGAGCAAAGAGTAGGTTTGCTTTCTGTCCAATATAATAATGTCTTCCTCTAGAAAAATGGAGGACATGCTTATTACCCATTACAAAAGATTCCGAATCCCTAAGCTCAGGCTTCCTCTCCTTGAATGTAACCCAATGCACTGTACATGAGGTATCATCTAGCAGTCCTTTTCACATCACTCACATCAATTGGGCATCAAAGGAACTAGCCCAAAACCTGCTGATGTTATGGCTATTAATATTGTAGTAACAAACTGTCATTAGGTTCTGATCCAGGGATCTCATATCATCAACCAACACCCCACTATACAGGATAACTTGTTAGCTTGCAAGAAGGGTAATATTTCAGACTCCTTCTGGTTCTTAATATAATAAATTTATTTATATATGATACATATAATGAGATAATTTTTAAATAACAACAAATAGAAAAATAATAAAAATTAACACATTAAGTGCCATATTCTGTTCCAGGAACTATTTTTAATGATTTAATGTCTTCTCACAAAAATCCTATTAGGTAGTAAGTACAAAAAACTTTACCTTGCCAAATATCGTGTCTATGGGAACACTGAAGCAGATATAACATGAGATTAGATTCTGTTTTTCACTCAGCCTTTTTTAAATGCAGGATGACAAAAGTTAGGAGACAAAGGAGCATGTTAAGGGTTACAAAGGCAAAACGTCTCAAGAAGGAAGAGGTGGTCAATAATGTTAAATACTGTAGAGAATTCAAGATAAGGACTAAAAATTATTCACAATATCAGACAAAGAGGAGGTCTCTAGTGAACTTAGTAAGAGCAATTATATTACAGTAGAAAATCAAATGCAGTAGACCAAAATGTCAAAAGGAGATAAAAGACTAGTAACAATTAATAAGTATTCTACTCCTAAAGGAACACATGGCTCCAATAACAAGGGAAGGACTGGGAGGGGGGTGTGGGGAAGTTGGTTGCTCTTCCGGTTGCTTCATGGTTAAAACTAATTCAAAAGCAATGGGATGACAAGTTTTTCCTATAAATTCTCAGATTAATGTTCCCCTCCCCACCCCACAGCCATTTTAACTGGTAAAATACCAAGGTAATAGGCATAAACCTGGTGATATACTTGAGAGTCCAACACATTTCAACCTGCGAATCAGTGAAATGGATTCATTTCAATAGTTTCAAAATTCCTCAGCCACAGTAAAATACACAATTATTAATACAGTTCACTCAAAACATGAATGTTTTAAATACAGAAATTTTAAAATGATAAGAATTAAATTTACGATGGATGCCATTATTTTCTTTTGGGCTCACATGGTTTACAGGATCAACCTTTTATTTAAGTATACTCTGAAAAGCTAAACTGGTCAACTTTTAGTCTTTGGAAACCTCCAAACTTATATATCTTCACCTTGCCCGAGATGCATCCACTGCAAGAGCCAGGATATTTCCATCTCCGCTAGCAGCACATTCGGTTAGTGCAGCAAGACAACGTTCAGCCAAAGCTTGATCCCTGCTGGATTTGATCTATGGAAAAAGTCAAGGAAAGGGACAATTTACATGAAGAGAGAATAAAACAGAGATCAAGAGATTAGACCCTGATGCATAGCATATGGCATTTTTTTCCATAATCCTAACTCCAAATTTAAGAGGAAAAAATTGAAAAGAATAATATATAACCTAGGAATTTTATTCATTCAATTCATTCATTCACTCAGGATTTCCTAAAATAATATTACATTTGGTATAATCCTAACAAATCAGAAACATGAAGGGCAATAATAGTGCTGACCTTCCCAAGTAGCACATGTTACTTAGGCTTTTCTAAAGTACCAAGACATTGTAAACAAGTGGGTCTTTCATATGAAGTATTTTGAAGGAACACTAAAGATTAATAGTGACAAGAAAAAAAATCAAAACTTAGAGAATATTTTAGTTATATTTTAAGTTTCCTTTAGATAAATAACAATGTATTGATAATAATATGCATATTGCTATACTTTTATTTAAAAATAATCTCGAGAGCGAAAGAGGGACTAAGAAAAAGATATACAATGAAAAGCACAGTAAAAAAGTTTTCCCTGGGTCCTAACTCTGCTCTGCCAATAATTTGTCAAAATAAAGTTGCATAAATCCATTTTTTTACAAATTGTACCACCTGTAAAAGAGTCTAAAATATACTGCTCAAGATGCCACTAGTATTATATAGCATATATAAGCAGAGGTACAGAAAATTTATAGTCATCCCTCAGTATCTGTGAGTGATTGGTTTCATGACCCACTGCCCACCCTATCCACAGATAGCAAAATTCAGGGATGTTCAAGGCCCTTATATAAAATGATGTAGTGTTTGCATATAACCTATGTACATTTTCTTGTATACTTTAAATCATCTCTAGATTACTTATAATTCCTAATACAATGTAAATACTATATAAATAGTTGTTATAGTGTATGGTTTAGGAAATAACAAGAAAAAAGTCTGTACATATTCAGTACAGACATATCCATTCTTTTTTTCTCAAATATCTTCAATTCATTATTGGTTAAATCTATAGATGTGGAACCCACAGATATGGAGGTCCAACTATATTTAGAGCAAGAAAAAACTCAACTCCAAATTCTCCATAAAAATGCCCATTTTTCTTTATCTTTTATTGGAGAAAGAAACAATAAACACATACAATTTAAGAGAAAAATAAAGTAAATCGAGTAAATAACGAAGTGATTTGGCACAAGGTAGTAGGGTGCTATTGTAGATATTGGATCACTGTAAGCTTCTTAGATAAGGTGACATTTGAGCAAAGACCTAAGAAGTACACCTTTTCTGGTTTACTAGAAAATTAGTCATCCTTAGATTAGGTAGTTTGCTATAATTATCTCAACAACAGATTACTAAAATTCAGGGAGTGAAAACAGATGCTAAAATTAATTAGGGCTGACGGTTACAGAAAAATAATTTAATATAAAATTACTGTTGAGATAGTTCACATTTTTAAAAAAATTACCACCACAGGTAAAATATTGTTAAAACCATAGGTAAAAGGAAAGCGTAAGAAAATATAAACTTGAGTTCATTACTAAAGAGAGCTCAGAGTATTGCAGCAGAAATATATTTTGCTATAAAAATATCTGATTCTAGCTATGAAAATTAATTTTTGTAATAGAAGAACTTTGATTTGGTCATGGTCCTAAGAAAGTTCAAAACTAGGAAAAAGTTACATCAGAATATCCATTTCTCCTAAACTGGCTCTAGAGTCAAAAAGCCTGCATTCAAATCCCAGCTTTGTCACTTATACTATAAACTTGAGCAACTAAATGAGACTCTCCAATCATTAGTTCCCTCATCTGTAAATGGAAATAAAAATAGTAACTACCTGTTAAATAAAACAATACACAAAAACAACAATTCAAGAAAAGGATTTAGTACAGTATGGGTACACAGTAAGTGCTCAATAAATGTTAACTATTATTGCTATATTGTCATTAATGAATTTCTCTCTGTTGCCCAAAATAAGGCTTATCATTATTTATGATAAATGAAATCCTTCAGGCTATGAAGATATAAAGTTAATAACCTAAAGTATAACAGAAAAGAAAGGGTTTTCCAAAAATAAATACTATTAGATTTTTATAGATTGAACTAAAAAAAAAGCCATACATTAAACAATCTCAGGAAAAGTAAACAAAGAAAACCATTAAATGTATAAGCTCCCTACCTTGGAAACAGCAGTACTTACAAATGCCAAAGATTAAGAGGCCAAAGTAGCTTCATACAACAAAAATATATAGGTTACAACAGTGACAATTAATTTGATTTATCTATTTTAGTATTTCATATGCTCTGGATCAACTCAGTGACAAACTAAAAATAAGAAGGGAATACGATACTCTAGTTTCAATCAAAATAAATAAAGTTTATTGTAAACTGTACCTTACTAAAGCACTACCAAATATAGTTGAATTTTAAAAATCAAAAAGCAAGTAATTATTTCAAAGTAGTATCAGATGCCATCATTCTGGTGAAAGAAATTACAATAAGAAGCCCTGGGTTCAAATAATAACTCTAAACTTTATTCTGTTTTTAATTTTTAGTAAGTTACATAATCATCTAAGCCTTGGTTTTAATCTATAAATTATGGAAGGTATTATTATTGTAGTGTGGTTTTTAATAACAACTTATAAGTTTCACAGAGGTAGATATCATGGTTTAAAACAAGTTTTTGGTGTCAACAGACTAAGACTGAGTCCTGGTTGTCTATTTATCCTGAGCAAGTTTCTCAATGCCTTATCTTTAGTTCCCTTACATTTGAAATGATGGAAATTAATACACACCTCATGCTGTTGTAAGGATTAATTTAAGCAGGACAGTTTAAAAGCTTAGCCAGAGCCCAGAACACAGAAAATACTTAAAAAAAAAAAAAAAAGCAAGCTATTAATACCTTCTTAAGTTTTTCAATCTGCCTGTTTCGCACTGAAGTATTATCAATTGCCAGAACTTCTACAGCGTCTTCTTTTTCCAACTGGTACTTATTTACTCCAACAATTACTTCAGAACCTGGTAATTTCCCAAAGAAAAATTTTATTCACAAATAATTACCTAATTGTAATGCTCTGGTTATGATGTATTTTCCTTATAAATTTAATATCTTTAAGTAGTATTCTTAATTCTTAATGCAACTTCAATATAGATCAGCAAATCCCAATCTGAGAAGGGGGTGTGAGAGGAAAGTAGAGGTATATGTCAGAGTCTCTGTAAGGAAGGACTTTCATTATTCTACCAAACTATTAATATACACTTTCCCACGGTTTCTAATAAATCTTTTAACACTTCGAAATAACAATCAGAGCAGCTGCCATCTAAGATTTATAAGGTAGAGAATGAATACCCAGTAGCTTTTCTAATATTTTTTTGAATTCAGCCAGTCACTTTTAAACAAAAAAAGAACCCTTCTATAATCTATTAGTAAATCAAAATTACAAAGATACTTCCTTACATGATAAAGAATATATTTTACCTCAAACTACCAGATTATTACTCTTATATAAAACTTCCCACAACCCCTACCCCTGGTTATACTCCTTCATATTTCCTTCATAGCACTTATCATGATCTATAATTCTTTATTTACTTGTTCATTTTCCTCTCTTTTACTAGAATGTAAGATTTGTGTGCATAGAGGTCATAGAGGTCATGTCTGTCCTGTTCACAGTTGTATGCCCAGACATAGCAAGTGCCTCAAACAAAATAAACTAAAGAAGTATTCATTGAATGAATGAATACTCCAATGCAGAGAACACTGTGATCATCAACAGTGTCATCTTCAAAATGTTAATGACATCTACCCACAAACATGTACATATATACAATGGTTAGACATCCACACACACTTTGTACATATGCTTGCCTGTGTGCATCCATGTATGTGAAAATACATATATAGATAGATACAAGTATATGAGAAAAAATTTACCCAAGTTCCATTTTTCATTATTTTTGTTTTGTTAACTATACATGTTATCTTCAAACAGAAATGAATTTCTTTTTAACTACTGGATTTCATATATGAACTTTCTCACTATCTTACCAGAATCTATTCTAGCTTGTCTTCGGGCAGCACATTCTTCAATTCGAAGTTTAGGTATTCCCTCAGCTACAGCTTTGGCCATTCCACCCATTTCTTCAATTTCATTAATGAGCTAAAAAGAAAAACATTAACAAAACTAAAAGAGAATATTAAAAATGTGTGTAAACTATATAAATTTGTTATGAGTGTTATATAATTACTAATATTAATAAAATTATAAACTAAATGTTAATGTTTCATAAGAACAGAATTAAATAAACATCAAAGTCATTAATTAGAATTTGTGTGTTTATAGTTACTTGAAAAGACAACTAACAAGTATATTCCAAAAAACACAAAACCTCTTAAGTCTTGGGAGAAAATTAAAGCAACATCAATTCTCTAATCTTTATTTTTAGGTACATAAAGTTTTCATAATTACATAAAGTCTGTAAGAAAAATATATTTTAAAATGCAATTTACTTTTGATTTGAGCTGCAGAGAAACAATGTAACCTCATCTTTAATGAAATCAGGAAACATTTAAACCTTCAATCATAGCTTCATATATGAAGGCAGAAAACAGACAGTGGAATGATATATGACTTAGCAGAAAGGATCAAGGTCAACCTGCTTTTCCCTGATGAATTCAAGAAAGAAGAATCTATATTGGATTCTACGTAAGTGTAAAATGAGAAGCTAAAAAGAAGAAGACAATTTGAGAGTCTGCAACCACCCCTCTCTCATTCTGTCAGGAGAACCAAAGTTTACTGTCTACAGAAAATGAACTCGAGACACAATGAACTATCAAATACCAAATACAGACAGAAGTAAGGGTAAGATGTCTTACTGAAATAAAAGCCTGTACTCTGACTAAAGACTAAAAACAAAAAGCACAGAGAGAAAATGGAGACAATACAGGATGTAAAAGAAAACTTCAGAAAATATCATGAATTCAGAATATAAATGGATTCTGTACTAATGAAACAAATGAAGATGACATTAATTATAAGGGGGAAATTAGAAAACAAAAATGAGCTCTACGAATCAAAAATATAATACATGAATGTAAAAATAAGTAGAAATATAAAGTTGACAAATCTTTAAGAACACAGAAAAAAAAGGCAAACAGATATACTATAGAAAAGATAAGAGCAGGCAGGGAGCAGTGGCTCATGCCTGTAATCCCAGCTCTTTGGGAGGCCAAGGTGAGTGGATCACGAGGTCAGGAGTTTGAGACCAGCCTGACCAACACGGTGAACCCCCGTCTCCATTAAAAATACAAAAATTATCCGGGTGTGGTGGTGTGTGCCTGTAATCCCAGCTACTCGGGAGGCTGAGACAGGAGAATCGCTTGAACTAGGGAGTCAAAAGTTGCAGTAAGCCGAGATCACGCCACTGCACTCCAGCCTGGTGACAGAGTAAGACTCTGTCTTAAAAAAAAAAAAAAAAAAGATAAGAACATCAGCACATCAGGATATTATTTAAGGAGGTCCGTAGCTTATGACTAGGAGTTCTAGAAAGAGAACCCATATGAAAATGACAAGAAAAATACTGTCAAAGAAATAATACAAGAAAATTTCCTAGAGCTATAAAAATATTTTTTAAAAAAAGGTGAGATGAAAAAGACCCAATAAAGGTTCAGTACCATGTAGGAAAAAATACACCAAGTTATACATCAATACAAAAAATAAAGAAGAGGTCCCAATACTTTCAGAAAGAAAGATCCTGAATGAGAATGGCATCAAATTTCTGATCAGAAATATTGAAAGCCAGAATAAAAATCTAGAATAAAAAACAGATCAATGCTTATAAACTTGCTTATGAATTTCCTGAATGGAAATAATGTCAAGCTTAGTCAGGCTATTAATCAATTATAAAAATAGAATAAAGACATTCCCAAACAGGAAAAGTTTCAAATAATTTATCTCCCATGCACCATTTTTAGCAGGTTTCTATGAGATGTACTTCCAAATAACCAAGAGATAGACATGGGATTCAAGATTCAGAATTAAACAGAGGAGAAATGAAAATATATTCCTACTATAATGGCAAAGAGGAGTCAAAGAACAGCAATAGTGAGCAGAAATAGAGAAAAAACAATTTAAGTCAAATGAGAACATTAGAAGAATTCAGAAAAGATTACATTGAGATATAATTATATTGGTAGTAAGGGAGGAGGAAAAGTAGGGGTATGAATCAGCCAAAATCTAAACTACCCTACTAGGAAAGCAATAGATAGTGTCTAAGGTCTCATGTGTAATGTCTACAGTTGATAAAATTACAAGAAATAGTATACATGTGATTTTAAACTATGCAGATAAAAACAAAAATAAGCAAAGAAGTATGTATCTTACTCCAGGAAGCAGGAAAAAACAAGTGGATGATCAAAAACTGCTGTTCTTTGTATGAGCTTTTTAATACTAGCTGTCTTTTTAATTCTTTTAATAAAATACTTTAATAGAAATGTATTTTTAAATGGATTGTTTTGAAAACTATAAAATCAAATCTGAATTTTTTTTGCAAACATCGTTTAAATTATTATATAAATCTGTAAGTGATTTGATTTATAAATTTAAAATCTATAAATCTTGACTTGTAAGTTTTAAAATCTATAAATCTTTACAAATCTGTAAATTCTGAAAACAAAGTTGCAAAGTGGAAAAACTTACCTTTAAAGCAGCATCATAAACATCATTTGTGAGACATTCCATCATGTAAGAACCTCCCCAAGGATCAGCCACTTTGGGAATCCCAGATTCTTCTTGAATGATGATTTGTGTGTTCCTGGCAATTCGAGCACTTTTCACAGTTGGCAAACCCAAAGCTTCATCAAAAGAATTTGTGTGCAAAGACTGAGTCCCTCCAAATACTGCTGCCATTGCTTCTATTGCAGTACGGACAATATTATTGTAGGGATCCTAAAATATTTGATAAAAAACAAAAACTCAAAGAAACAGGTGATAGATATTGCAACTATAAACAGCAACATGATTAAACAGCAACTGCTGCATATTTTCTATGTCAATTTCCATATTAAGCTTCAGAATAGCAAATAAATTCAGACAAATTAGTTTAGAAGCCAAAATTAGAAGAGTCAGAGTTCAGTGTTTAGTGCCTCTTATAATCCTCTGAAATATCAGATATTGTTGTGCTTACTTTTATATTGCCTAAATACTTTTCTATAAGTATATCAACAATGCATTCTTTTTCTACTTAAGATTATATAGTCCTTCATTTCATAATTCACTCTTTGCTGATTATTTTGTCTACCTCACAGTATCTACCACAATGATGTGTACAAAACAGGCACTGAATAAATGTTAATAAAATAGATGAACAATGAACTGAGATATCAGAAATTTGAGTTCTAGTTTATTGCATGCCTAATTGTGATTTGGGCAAGTCATTGGATCTCTCTGAACTTCAGTTTCTTTAGCTGAAAAAATAAGCAGGTTAAAATAAAAATGATTATTAAAGTTCCTTCCAACCCTAAAAATCTCTTATTTCTCCATGTATTTATTTATTTATTTTTATTTTATTTATTTATTTATTTTGAGACGGAGTCTCGCTCTGTTGCCCAGGCTGGAGTGCAGTGGCGCAATCTCGGCTCACTGTAAGCTCTGCCTCCCGGGTTCACTCCAATCTCTTGCCTCAGCCTCCTGAGTAGCTGGGACTATAGGTGCCTGCCAACACACCTGGCTAATTTTTTTGTATTTTTAGTAGAGACGGGGTTTCACCATGTTAGCCAGGATGATCTTGATCTCCTGACCTTGTGATCTGCCCGCCTTGGCCTCCCAAAGTGCTGGGATTTACAGGCGTGAGCCACTGTGCCAGGTCTATTTCTCCATTTATAAGAACCTGAAGTTTTATTTCATACAGAGTATAATAGTTATTATTCAACATTTAAATGTATAAAAGCAATGTAACTTTGCACATATAAATTATTTTTAAATGTACCAAAATAATTTCATATGTAAAGAGAACATGTATAAAAACAAGGCCATAACTATACAATTTTTAAGAGAACAAATTAAATTACCCAAGTAAAAACAGTCTTTAAACAGTCTGCTTGCATGCTTGCTTAAATACATAACTTTAACACATAAAATATGTATGTATATATAATTAATTTTAAATAGGCAGTTTTATGTTAAGAATTATAACTCTTACAATTATATGAGAGTACTAACTTATGACTTTTGCTTCCTTCTCATCATCAAATTCTGTTTTCTTTCTTTCTTTGTTTTTTTTTTTTTTTTTTTTAGACGTAGTTGTGCTCTTGTTGCCCAGGCTGGAGTGCAGTGGCGTCATCTTGGCTCACTGCAACCTCCGATTCCCAGGTTCAAGTGATTCTCCTACGTCAGCTTCCCAAGTAGCTGGGATTATAGGCATGCACCACCACGCCCAACTAATTTTGTATTTTTAGTAGAGGTAGGTTTTTGCCAGGTTGGCCAGGCTGGGTGCCTCGGCCTCCCAAAATGTTGGAATTACTGGTGTGAGCCAACTCGCCCAGCCTTGTTTACTTTTACAAGTGTTTCAGCACTACAGGGAAGCTAGGATGTAAGTGATTTTATATTGTTAACCACCAGAGGGAGACAATTTTTATTTATTTATTTATTATATTATGTATAATTACAAACCTAAGTATACATTATGCTTCAGAATATTTATCATTTCAAATATTAACAGATAGCTTCTTAATTCTATTTCCTGCTTGTGCCACATTGCTCAGAAAAAATATATATATATAACTTTATTAAAATTCTACATTTTAAATTATATACATACCTGCTCAGTAAGTGACCATCCAGATGTCTGACAGTGTGCTCTTAGAAGAAGAGATTTTGAGTTTTTAGGCTGAAACATTTTCTCTATTAAGTGAGCCCAGAGTCTTCTACCAGCTCTCATCTTTGCTATTTCCATATAGAAATTCATTCCAATTCCCCAGAAGAAAGACAACCTAAAATAGTAACGTTAGGTCCAGAATTTAATTAAAGTTAACAATATAGAGCAGAAAATAAAACTAATTGTATCACACACTAGAAAATCAAGGTCTATATTTTAATTTCGAAGAACTTAATTTGAATTAAGATCAGTGCACGTACATTTATGTAACTTTAAACCTAACATAAAATTACAGTTT